>NC_000009.12:38494848-38646363 GCF_000001405.40 Homo sapiens
GTAATGTCCTTTACTCAAAGCCTCAAACTATGCTTATCACATCTAAAAAATACCTTCCCCACAACATCTAGACTGGTGTTTGCTGAAGCAACTGGGCATGTGTTAGTCAGGGTTCTCTAGAAAAGCACAATAGGGTATGTGTGTATGTATGTGTGTTTGTGCATCTGTGATTTCTGTATATGTGTGTGTACATGTATATTTACTTAATTGATATTTGTCTAATTTTTGGTTACTTATCTAGTATCTATTTACTTATTTGGAGTTGGCTCATGCAATTATGGAGACCGGAGAGTACCAAGATCTGCAGGGTGAGTTGGCAGGCTGGAGACCTAGAAGACCTGATGGTGTAGTTCCAGTCTGAGTCTTAAGGCCCAAGAACCAGAAGAGCCAATGGTATAGTTCCAGTCTACAGGCCAGCAGCGTCAATATCCTAAGAGCCAATGTTTCAGTTTGAGTCCAAAGGCAGGAAATAAAGAAAGCCACTGTCTTTCTTTGAAGGTCATTAGATAGCAGAAATCCTCCCTTACTTGGGGGTGGGTCAGCCTTCTGGTTCTCCTCAGGCCTCTCACTGATTGGATGGGGCCCACCCACATCAGGAAGGGCAATCTGCTTCACTCAGTCAACCAATTTAAATGTTTATCTCACCCAAAAACACCCTTGCAGAAACACCCAGAATAGCGTTTGACCAAACAACTGGGCACATTGTGGCCCAGTTAAGTTGACATATAAAATTAACCAACACAGGGCACTATAGTTTACTCTAGTTGACAGATGTCGCTATGACACTTGTTAAATCTCCAAGCAACATTGTGGATTTGTCTATGTTTTGTTTTTGTTCTCTCAGTTTTTGTATCGTGTATTTTGAAGTTCTCTTTTTAGGTATAACGATCTTTATGATGATTGCGTTCCCTGGAGAAATTAACCTGTATTAAGATTGTGATATATCACCTTTTATCTCTTGAAATAACCGGTTGTTAATGCCCACTGTCCCCACTTCAGTATGAATACAATTTTTGATATGATTAAGTGTAAGATTACCACCTAAAAATTCATTTTCTAGTTGCCCCCTGTGTTTTGTTTGTTTTTTCATTTGGGCCTCTATTTCACTTTTCTTGCCATCTTTTGGATTAATCAAATTTTTTTAGTATTCCATTTTTATTATTTTATTGGATTTTTATTGTACTTCATTGCATTCTTTTAGTGGCTATGCTAGGGATTACAATATGTATCCTCAGTTTATCGCAATCTATTTAGAGTTAAAATTGGACCACTTCACATTAAGAGCCTTTCAACAATAGAATTCCACTTATTTACTGTCCTTTTTGTCATTGTTGTGATATATTTTATAGCTACATATTAATAAACCCCATATGATGGATATAATCCTGTCATTTGTGCCTTAAACTGTCTTTCAAAAAAGCTAAGAAAAAATGTAGTCTTAAAAAAAACCTATCCATATATTCACCATTTCTAATGCTCTTCATTCATTTCTATGTATCCAAGTTGCTGTGTGATATGACTTCTCTTCAGATTGAAAAACTATCTCAGTTTTTTTGTTTTTAGTGCAAATCTGCTGGCAATGAAATATCTTAGTTTTTATTTATTTAAATGTTTTTATTTCATCCTCACTTTTGAGATATAATTTCCTTGATAGAGAATTCTGGGTTTATACTTTTAAAAAATTTCATCATTTGAAGACATCATTCCCTCATAGCTGGGCATCCACTGTTTCTGATGAGAAACCTGCTGTCATTTGTATGGTGTTCTCCATGGGGTAGCTTGCCTTTTTATTCCCTCTTTCAGTATTTAAGGTTTTCTTTTTCTTTCTGGTTTTCAAAAGTTTTTCTATGTTCTGCCTAGATATGGTTTTCCTCATATTTACCTTCTTTGGGTTTTACTGAGCTTCTTGGGTCTATAAGTGGTATTTCCCACTGTATTTTGAGAATCTTTAGCCATTATTTTTTTCAAAGATTTTGCCATTAGTCCTTCCCCTGTGTCTCATTACACATAGGTTTCATAATTTGTGAAATTAGTGCTTCTGAGTCTCTGTTCACATTTGTCCAATCTATTCTTTTCTCCAATTTTCAGTTTGGATACTTTCTATGGATTTATCTTCAAGTTCACAAATAAGCCATTCAGTAACGTTTCATTCCAAATACTCAGCTTTAAAGTTCAAGGATTTCCTTTTTTTTTTTTTTTTTTGAGACGGAGTCTCGCTCTGTCGTCCAGGCTGGAGTGCAGTGGCGCGATCTCGGCTCACTGCAAGCTCCACCTCCCGAGTTCACGCCATTCTCCTGCCTCAGCCTCCCAAGTAGCTGGGACTACAGGCACCCACCACCGCGCCCAGCTAATTTTTTGTATTTTTAGTAGAGACGGGGTTTCACCGTGTTAGCTAGGATGGTCTCAATCTCTGGACCTCGTGATCCGCCCGCCTTGGCCTCCCAAAGTGCTGGGATTACAGGCGTGAGCCACCACTCCCAGCCAAGGATTTCCTTTTTTTAAAAAAAATTTTTAGCTTACTGAAATTTCCCATCTGCTCACTCCTTATAATAATATTTAAGTCCGTAAACTCAAAATAGCTCCTTCAAAATCTGTCTGCTAATTCCAAGATCTATATCCTCTCAGGTATTTTTACGGGTACTTCCTCCCGGGATTTTGGATTCCATTGTCCGGGTTCCCAGGTCTACTGGTTCATGACCGGATGCTGGACAATGAGGATGCGATGTTATGTGGTTTCTGGATTATGTTTTTATTCATCTCTAGGACCTTGAGTTTTGTTTAGGCAGTCAGTTGAGTTACTGGAAACCCTTTTTGTGTGGCTTTGTTCATACTTTGATAGGCTGGGTTTATGATGGCATTGAGCTTAATCTTAGGGCATGGTCCTTTTGCTAAGATGTAGTGTTCACTCTTCTGTAGTTTCATTGAAATGCCAAGGTGTTCCTTAAGGTCTCTCCTCTCTTAGTAGCCAGAAGTGCTCACATACCTCTCAGCCCAAGCAGATGACCTCTGCTAGGCTCAGGAAGCCTCAGCCTGTGTAATTAGACTTGCTCTTGCTCACTATTACATGTTGAAATCTGTGGTATAATATGAAAAAATATATCTGCTCTTTGTCCCCAGTTCTTGACACAGTGCTCCTAAACTCTTAGAATATCCTGAGTGACAAGAGTGTCTTATGTCATTCATAACAAGCCCCTTTTCATCACACCTGAACTTATGGTAATGAGGTGACTTAGGGTGAACCCCAAGACAGCCTCAGCATGGGACTAGTTCGCAGAAACACCAAATTATTAGAGAGTTGGAGCTTTCTGCCCTAATATCCAACCTCCAGGGAAGGGATGAGGGGTGCTAAAGATTGAACCCTCTATAAATGCTCAAACAATGATATTCAGAGAGCTTCTGGGGTGACAAACAGACACCCTGAGCTGCTGAGAGGGTGGCATGCCTGGGGAGGCATGGAAGCTCCACAGAACCCCCCATACCTTGCCCTATGCATCTCTTCCATCTGGCTGTTCCTGAGTTGTATCTTTTAGAATAAACCATTAAGCCTTAAGTAAAGTGTTTTCCTGAGTTCTGTGAGCCATTCCAGCAAGTTATCACACCTGAAAGGGTGCAGTGCTTTGGGAATCGCCTGACTTTGTAGCCACGCTGGACAGAAAGGTGGGTTACCTGGGGACTCAGTACTTGCAACTGGCATCTGAAGTGAGGGGGCACTTGTGGGACTGAGTTCGTTTCCTGTAGAGTCTGATGCTGACTCTGGGAGCTTAGTGTCAGAAGTGAACTGAGTCACTGGACAGGTGTTTGGTGTCTGGAGAGTTGGATAATTGGTTGGTGTGAGAAAACCCCCCACACATTTGGTGTCCAAAGTGTTGTGAGTAAAAACAGCACAAATTCCAAACAAGCTTTTGCCACACCTCTCCTTCCCACATACTAGAGATTCCATTTCTTAATCCTGACCCAGATTCAAATTCCTTCAGCAGCTCAGCAAGACCATTGCTCCATTTGAACTTAATCTCATTGTGCCACAGCAGGAAAGTGTCCATAAAGCAAAGAGACAGAGGATAGAGGGACCGAAATCATGCATTTCTCTTCCCTCAAGGATCACTGTCCCCAAACGCCTGCTGTGTGCAATGCTTGAAAAGAGTTGTGTCACATGTTGTCAATTTTGATAGCTGTTTTTGAGTGCAAGTAGCTTGGTATGATACTGTCATCAGCAGAGTGGTAGTCACAGGTATTGAGCCTTTTAGAATCACTGTGGGGGTTGTGCAAACAGTGGACTGAAAGAATTCAGATTAGAAGCAGTTAAGGGGCTTCTGAAATAAGTCCTGAGGTTGCTGGAATAAGATGATGGCCTCAGGGATAAAGAGAAGGAAGGAAAAATGTTAGGTACCTAAGAGGCAAAAATGGAAAAGAATCAGTTTTTGTTTTGGGGGGTTAGGAGAAGAAAGAGGTAAAGGATGCCTTCTACGGCTCCTGTGTGAGCATCCTGAGTTGGTGCTATCCAGTGAAACAGGTCAAGTTGATTCTCATATTCATACTTGCTTCTTACAAAAAGTATTACATTTAAAAATGAGTAACAAGTTTCATTTAGTAAAGATTAAGTGTTATTAAATCATACACTGAGTTTACTCAGTGTCTATGTGCTCAGAAATTACACTCTATGTTTTTACAGACACATACACTTCTGTGAAAAGACTATAGGATGCACACACTGCTATGCAGAGCACAAACACACACGAGTGTAATTCTACAACACAAATGAACGGACGTTTTCAGAGACAGAAATCTATCTAAATTACCTTCTCAACGATCACTCTCAAAGGTGCACGTCTGTTAGCTCCGACAGGATGGTGTCCTATCAGGGTCCTTTTCCCTGACTTGAGAATGAAGAGTATCTGTCATGAAGGGAGAAGTCACAGTCAGCTGGAATAAGGAGGCCGTCAGCAAGACAGGCTGTCAGGCTCTCCTGGGTTTTCTCTGAAAGACTTCAGCCCACACCTCCCCTTCTGGACACTGAGTGGGAATAACAAGAATCAGAGGCCGCCCCGAACAACAGAGCTCCAAGTGGAGCTCGGGGGTGAACTCAGAGTCCTGCTCTTTCTCCCCCTCATTTGACCCCAGAGAGCAGCAGAATACAGTGCAGTGGCTGTGAAATGGATTTTGAATAGATTATGATATTCATGAGCATTTTTTGCGGGGGAGTCTCTTTTAAGTAGTGTTTTTTTTGACAATTTTGGGACATTTAAGTTAGCAATGACATCAAGAATCTGATGGAAACCATAAGCTCTCACCACAGCAACATGCGCACACCCACAAACTCAGTGGCTCATGGACTCTCTGCAGGTCACTGATGGTTCTTAGGTTAGGAAGGGGCTGGAGGCATCTCACAATATTTATTTGCTGGTTACCTGATCCTAGCATCTGTAAGTGTGCTCAAGCGAGCGGACGGGCATGGATCTGGAATGCAGAGGAGCCCAGGCATGAAGCAGCAGCACAGGCAGCAACTTGCTCTGACAACACCCCCTGACTTCTCTGACTGGATGGGTTACACAACCCAGCGGCCTGTCATCCTGACCATCAGGTCAGAAATGATTGGTGATAAAGTTAGTCACTCAGTCACTTAGATAAGTGGGCAGGCAGTGAAGTCTGCTTCATACACTACCTATTAAGTTTAGTTCCAGTGTCAGGCAAGCAGCTGAGATTCAACATCATTCATTTAAACAGTTTTGTTTATCTTGAGATATTTTTTAAGTTTCCTTTTCATTTTCTCTTTGACCCACTGGTAGCTCAAGAGTGTATTATTTAGTTTCCATCTATTTGTGAATTTTCCTGTTTTCTTACCATTATTGGTTTCTAATTTTCTTCCATTGTGGTAGGAAAAGATACTCGGTATGATTTTCAACCTTTTTTTTTTTTTTTTTGAGACGGAGTCTTACTCTGTTGTCCAGGCTGGAGTGCACTGGCACAATGTTGGCTCACTGCAACCTCTGCCTCCCAGGTTCAAGCGATTCTCCTGCCTCCGCCTCCTGAGGAGCTGGGACTACAGGCACATGCCACCATGCCCAGCTAATTTTTGCATTTTCTTAGTAGAGACGGGGTTTCACCATATTGGCCAGGCTGGACTCAAACTCCTGACCTTGTGATCCACCTGCCTCAGCCTCCCAAAGTGCTGGGATTACAGGCATAAGCCACCGCGCCCGGCTGATTTGCAACTTTTTAAAATTAGTTAAGATTTGATTTGTGACCTAATGTGATCCTAGGAAAGTTTTGTGGGCATTTGGGAAGAATGTGTATTCTGCTATTATGTGGGAAGTTCTGTATGTGTCTGTTGGATCCATTCAGAATATAGCATCGATCAAGTCAGCTGTTTCTGTATTGCTCTTCTGCCTGGATATTCTATTATTACAAGTGGAGAATTGAAGTCTCCTACTATTATGGTATTGCACTCAATTTCTCCCTTTGGATCTGTCAATATTTGCTTTATGTATCTGTATATTTGGGTGCTAGTCACATAATTTGCAGTTTTTCAAATGGATTTTTGACTTTTCATCAGCTTGGAAGAGCTTTTTTTATCATACATATGAACTGTGAATAAATTTTCTTAGTCGATTTGGGTTGTTTTAGTCCCTCAAAGGTATCTAATGTTTTATAGCGAAATCCTTTCCCTTTTCTTTTACAGTTTCTATATTTTTGTTTTCATGTAAAAGTTGTCACAATCTCTACAACACACATAGGTTTTCCTTTTTTATTGTCTGTTTCACCAACTAAAATATGTTCTTCATGTGGAAAAGGACATAACCTATCTTGTTCATCATTGTATCACCAGTTCCTAGAGCAGGCCTCAAGTATGTCAACAACTTAATAAGTATATTGTGAGTACATAAATGAAATTATTTTTATTTCTGTAAAACCCCTTGTGTATGCACTTGACTGACTCAAGTAAAATGGTCTGAACTGGAGAAAGGAACTATTCCCTTCAAAGTATGTCATAGGGCCTTCAACTTACACTGTTAGTGCAACAAGATCTCCATCATTGCTTAAGTGTGTCAAAACTCAGACATTCATCAATAGCTCCAATAAGACAAAGTTGTCATATGGGTTAGCCTCTGATTTTTCTTTTTCAGATGGAGTCTCTCAAGCTGGAGTGCAGTGGCGTGATCTCGGCTCACTGCAACCTCTGCCTCCCGGGTTCAAGTGATTCCTCCAGCTCAGCCTCCCAAGTAGCTGGGATTACAGGTACCTGTAATCATGCCTGGCTAATTTCTGTATTTTTAGTAGACACAGGGTTTCACCATGTTGGCCAGGCTGGTGTTGAACTCCTGACCTCAAGTAATACACCAGCTTCAGTCTCCCAAAGTGCTGGGATTACAGGCGTGAGCCACTGTGCCTGGCCAATTTTTCTACTAAGTTCTAAATTAGACATTGCCTGTATATCACCTGAACATCACCCCAAGACTCTTTCTCTGTGAGATGGTAAGCCCCATCTGGTAATTTTCCACCTGACCAAAATGGTTCCTGCTGGTGTAATAGATTCTTACATGAATTTATTCCCTGTCTACAACTAGATGGACCGCACATGAGCACTTCTCCATCGGGGGCCAACTGGAACTTCTTCCTGGGAATTTAGAATATTGTATCATTAAAAAAATGAAGTAAAGCTGGGAAATAACAACAGCCGTTATCTAGCTCTAGTTTTAACCAAAATTATTTTGTCACCCTCCTACATTATAGCTGCTCTGTGTTCTTCCTCTGACTTTTGTGAGTCAACAAAGTCATCTTTTACCCAAGTTAATTCAAGTTGGGTTTATGACATTAGAATTTAAGATCCTGAAGTATTACAAAAAGAGACTAAAAATTCAAGTTTTCTCCCCCAATCCATTCTTTTAAAAACCAGGAGTCCCTGTACCCAAATTCTGAGACTCAAATCTCCAACTCACCCGTAGCAACCACCATCATCTTCTCTTCTCTAGGTTTACACGCGTGCGTGCATTTGTGCAAGATGGAAGGGCTGTTTACATAGCAGAGGGTCAGGGAACCAAAATACTGTTATGTTGACAAACCAACAATATTTCTATCTTAGCTTAACACTTGAAACACAGTACTAAATGAAGTTAAATTTTCATCACTAAAATTGCTGTGACCTTTATCTCTTCCGTTCCTACTGTACTTGCTGAAATATGACTTCATTTATGACATTTCCAACTCATCAACCATGTCAGCTGGGGACAGAGTTAAAATAACTTTTAAAAACTGAACTTCAGACAAATGTGCTTGGCTCTGGGAAATCTTAGAAAGTTTTAGCATATTAAGCAAAAGCCTGCATTGTTTTTTTCTTACATGCTTGATAGCATGAATATTTATCTGGAATTTTATTTTGTGCTGGTTATTATATGAAGTGTGTACTGTCCTCATCAAAGAGTGCTTTATACAGAAATAATTTAAGTCAAAACATCCTCTTTCTTATATGAGTCTTCTTCAAGGGCCAAGTTAATAAAATTAATAGACTTAACCTTTTAACTCTTAAATATTTACATTTAAATTAGTGACATAAGATTGTATACATTAAAAAAGGCTATTCATTAGGATCTCAGGTAAATCCTAAAATGTAGAACACATACTTTAGGCAAGGAAAGTAATTTTTGTTTCCTCAAATTTAAGTATATAGGTTTCTTAATTTTCTTTTTAAAAAATAAATTTTTAATTTTCAAATAGGTTTAAATTTACAGAAGAGTTGCAAATAGAATACACAGAGTTCTCCTCCACACCGTACCCAATTTTCCCCATTTTAATGTCTTACATTACTATGTTACATTTGTCACAATTATTGAATCAATATTGATACATTATTAAGTTTATACTTTATTTCTATTTCCTTGGTTTTTACTTAATGTCCTTTTCTGTTCCAGGATTCCATATCAGGATACCACAGGACACTGAGTCCTTAGGTTCTTCCCGGCTGTGATCGTTTCTCAGGCCTACATTGTTTTTGATGACCTTGATGGTTTTAGGGGGTACTAGTCAGGTGTTTTTGGGAACTGTTTCTCAGCTGAGGTTTGTCTGATGTAGTGGGATTATTAGTTTTGGGAGGGAACATGTCAAGGTAAAATGCCATTCTCATCCTGTCGTATGATACACACTTTCAACTTGACTGATCACTGCTCACACTGGCCTTGATCACCTGGCTGAGACAGTGTTTGTTAGGTTTCTCCAACGTGAAGTTACTCTTTTTCCTCCTTTGCTATACTGAGTTCTTGGTAGGATGTCATTATGTGAAGCCCACAGTTTAGAAGTGGGGAGTGATGCTCTGCTTCCTGGAGTGTCTGATCTCCTTTTGAAATGATTTTTCATGCTGAACACAGAGTAATTAAAGTAAGAAAAATACGGATATTGAATGACTAGTTGCAAGAAGTCCATTATGACATCTGACATGAAAAATTATCTATCTACCTGTCTATTAAACGATTATATCTGTGTATACAAACATTAAATACTAAGCTATGCAGTATCGTCTTTACTGAAGGTAAAGGTCATTAGATTATATGCCATGCAGTGAACTGAGAAATATCTCATTTTTCAGACCTAAATCCCATCATTTCTTCAGAATACCAACTCTTTATAGAATGTTGTTTTGGGAGAAGTTTATATTGGTGAAAGTTTACTTTGACATATCTATGGGATAAGACGACTTTCTCCACTTCATAGATTTTGAATTCAGGATAAGACTTTCTCTACCAATGAGCAAAAATGGACCAAAATATGGGGTAACACGAGGAAATCAAATCTGAGACGGTCCACAACTGATGCCTTTCCTTCACCATACTTAGGTAAATGCTGTGGCACGAGTTGTTCACATTAAACACAACGAAGCAAATCATAAGCAGCAGTGCAGTTGTGATGGTTCCGGTCTCATGGGAGGCTCTAGAGGAACAGCCGTTGTTGTGAAGATGTTGATTATTTTTCTGGTGTCTGTGAAGGAAAATCACAAAGTAGCCACTGGCCCAACTCATGAGAACCAGAAAAATTAAGTCCTGGAGTGTGATAACTCGTATGAGAGACGGCAATTGCGTTACCCATGTGTGGTGTAGCTAAACACATTTTTATGGAGAGATTCTTGGTGACACTGCCATATTTGATAGTGTCAACAAACGGCACAAGCCTGACGTAGATGAGACTGTTGATGACCCAGAGTTTAAGAAGAAGCATAGTGGTGTTTTGAGCATTTTGTCTTTCAGCCACGCCCACCTGGATTTGCTGGGGCTCCCACAGAGGGCCTGCACCATGCTTAGGAGGCATGTTGTACATAGGGGAAGTCCCCAAGATACTCTATATACAAATTCAAATTCCCTACATCCAGTATAATTCAAAAGATTTTTAATATTGAAAGATTTTACTGCCAATGGAATAACTTTGTGGAGAAGTGTCATCGTATTAGCAACAGACAAGTGAAGGAAAAGCCAGCCCATGGGCTTCTTCTGCTGGGGACATATCAAAAAGGTGTAAATAGGCATCAGGAGTAGCAGTAAGTTCCTCCAAATCCCAATGTCAATATGAGAGAGGAAAAAAATTTCCATAATTGTATTGCTGGAAAGCATGGTGTTATAGGCTCTCAGAATGATACAAATATTATGTTTCGGCCTGAAAAGACTGAAAAACATCAAATTAAAATGTAAATTAAAAGCAGAACGCAAAAGGATACCTGTCCCAGGGAGAAAGGATTTCATCTCTTATGTAGTTCCTTTAAAAGGGAATACAAAAGGAATAGAACTATATTAAATATCATGTTGGAAAATTCCATGGTAACCAATTATCCCTCTCAGTGTTCACAGGTAATTTTGGGATGTGATGTAGGCCAATAGGAAATAATGAGTATTTCCATAGCAAATAAGCCTTCACTTATGACACACATTTATTTTGGCAGTAATAATTAGTCTCTCTCCAGAACCCAGAATAAAATGAGAAAAATCAAGTGGGTTTTGATCTGCAGTGCCATTTATATTTGGTAAGATTTCTCATTATGTTAGTCAGTCTGAAACAAATTACAGTGGAGTGTGGCAGGAACATGTATTATGAACTAAATAAATACTCACGAATGCACTCATCATCCGGTTGGATGAAAACGTTCAGTGTCTACTCTGATGGAAGCCAAAGATGCTGATCATAATGAAGTCAAAACCATCAGTACCTGATTCACACTCTTACATTTCCTTAAAAATACCAGGAGGCTGAAACAGAAAAGTGGAAAAGAGAAATTAAAGATAATTTATAGAAGGTTTATAAGTGATAAAAACATGAAAAATAACTTTTTCAGTTATTAAATCAATTCAAATGGAAACAAATAATTTTGTTCATCAATTTGTAAAAGTTTACAAATTAATCTGCTTCAAAAATGAAAAGGTCCAGTAAGATAATAAATTTTCCTATAATGCTAATGGGGATTAAGTGTTGATATCTTTGGCAAAGCAATTTAAAATACATATTAAAAATTTGAAGACAATGGTACAAAAATAAATAGCCTTCACACATACAAATTACAATCAGAAGCTATAAGGGCAGAGATAACTACATTTACAATGGCAATAAAACATACTTAGGAATAAACTTACCAAGAAATGTACAAAGCCCGTAAGAAGAAAACTTGTAGGCCAGGAATTGTGGTTCACGCCTGTAATCCCAATGCTTTGGGAGGCCAAAACAGGAGGATCGCTTGAGCCTGGGAGTTTGAGACTAACCTGGGCAACAAAGTGAGACCCTTGTCTCTACAAAAAATAAAAAAAATTAGCTGGGCATGATGGTGCGTGCCTGTGGTCCCAGCTACTAGGAAGGCTGAGGCAGGAGGGTTGCTTGAGCCCAGGAAGTTGAGGCTGCAGGATGCTGTTTCATGCCATTACACTCCAGCTTGGGCGACAGGGCAAGACCCTGTCTCAGATACAAAAAACAACAACACACACACCAAAAAAACACTGTAACACATTTCTAAAAAACATAAAAGTGTCTTGAACAGATACAGAGACATTTGGATAGAATGCCTCAATATCATCAGTATGTCAGTTCTCCGGTAATTTAGCATATGAAGTCAATGCAATCCCAACTGAGATAACAACAGTAGGTTTTTTTGGTTGGGTTTTTGGATCTAGACAAGTTGATATTGAAGTTCATATGGAAAAATAATCACAAGGGTAGAAAAATACTATCAAGAGAAACGAGGGGGATTAACATCACCACATATTAAAACAACTGCAAAGACTGTGTAATTAAAACAATAATAATGGCCCACGAGTAAACAAATAGATGAATGAGATAGAACTAAAATCAAGCACACAAATAAAATCCAAATATTATGGAAAATTAGTAAATCATAAAAAGTTCATATCTCAAATCACTGGGCTAAAAAGGGGACTTTTTAAGTAAATGATGTAGCCATTTATTTTTCCAATGGCATAGCCATTTGAAAAAGTCGGATCAGTTTCTCACACTATACACAAGAACAAACACCGTAACAATGGGAAATATAAAGAAAGAGTCATGCATGATCTCTGTTCTGACTGCTTGAACTCTATCTGGGAGCAGTGCAATCTAGAGTTCTCCATTCAGCCCCCAAGTGCCCCTCTCCCTTTTGCTCCAGCCCTTTATTTATCCTCTCTGGGCTCTCAGGGTCTTGCCTTGTGTCCTTGTGCAAGTTCAGCTTAGTGTACAACCAGGACATCACATGACCTGCATGCAATCCTGGGGCTCCTTTCCTGCCCCACTCTTTCCTCTCTGGTGACTTTCCACATAAAATCCAGCCACTTCAAAAGCCCCAACATCTGATAGGTTTCATCACCCAGCAAGATCTCTGCTCTACGTTTGGGCTCCATTTCCTGGCTCATGGCTCTGTTCCCTTCACTTGAGAATTATAGTCATTCAGCCTGGCCAACATAGTGAGATTCTGTCTCTACAAAAAGTAGCCACATGTGGTGGCGTGTGCCTGTAGTCCCAGCTACTCAGGAGGCTGAGGTGAGAAGATTGTTCGGACCTGGGAGGTCAAGGCTACGGTGAGCTGTGATGGAGCCACTGTACTCCAGCCTGGGCCAAAGGGCAAGATTCTGTCTCCAATAAATAAATAAAGGAAAGAAAGAAAATAAATAAATAAAAGGAACTGTAGTCTGTACTGTCTGTTTTTCAAAACCTGGACACAGTTGTTTATTTTCTTCCCCTTTGACAATTGTTGATGGTGAAACAATAAATCTGCTACTTATTCCTCTGAGAGGGCTGCCCCCCACCTTTTTTGTTATTATGTTTAAAAATTGAAGAGATCATGTCACTATTACTATAGATTTTTCCTCTTTTCTATTTTTTAGTTTTTCATTTTTTAGAACAGGGTTTTGCTGTGTCACCCAGACTGGAGTACAGTGGTGAGATCATAGCTCACTGTAACCTCAGGTGATCCTCCCTCCTCAGCCTCCCAAGTAGCTGGGACTACAGGTGTCAGCAACCACATCTGGCTAGATTTTAAATTTTTTGTAGAGAGAGGGTCTCACTATGTTGCCCAAGCTGCTCTTGAACTCCTGGCTCCAGCAATCCTCCCGCCTTAGCTTCCCAAACTGCTGGGATTGCAGGGATGAACCATTGTGCCTGGCCTACCAAATTTTTCATAATCTGGATTTGACAGACGGTTTCCTCATGGTTTCACTTTACTTGTATCTCCATCCTCTATATTTTGCATGAACTTTTAACTGTATCTACAGATTTGATATATTTCATTTTTGTTTTATTGAGAATATTTCACTATAGTACTGTGTACTTCCCTTTGCATCAAAACAGAAAGCACAATGTCTGTTTAGTGATATCAAAATTGATTATTGGGTCCAAGTATTATCAGCCTGAGTCATCCGTTATACAGGTTCCTCATCAACCTGTTAAATACTTGGTATCCATTGATGTTCGTTGCCTAGACATAGTCCTCATTAGAGTTACAAAGTAGTGATTTTCTAATCATACTATTTCTCCTCTGTTAATTAGCTGAAATGTTCTGGCACTAGAATATTCATTAGTGAACTTCATTCCTAAGTAGAAGAAACACAATGAACAAATTCAAATGATAAATGGTCAGAGAAAAATGGAAAATCTGCAACTCTTACCAGATACAAAGGGCGAATTTCAATATTTTCGGGTTCTAAAAATGATCAAGATATAAAACAAAAACCCAACAGAAAACAATGTGCAAAGGGTATGAGGTTACAGTTCACAGAAAAAGAAAATACAATGACTCTTAGATGAACATATTTTCATACATATTTATAATGGGATAAATGCAAATCAAAACTTCAATTCCATTTCTTTGACAATTAGAATGACTAAGATTAAAATTTTAATTAAAAAATGTATGGGCAACATAGTAAGACTGATTTCTTAAAAAAAGGTAGTTATTCATTTCCGTTGGTAGAGTCGTTGGGTAAAAGGTACTTTCATAACATTTCCTACAAAAGGTACATTTTCTCTTACCATTTCAGTCAGCTGTTTCATAATCACAAATTTATCCTCTAAGTATACTTGTATATGTGTAAAATTTTTATTTAAAAAGTTATTCACTGTAATAAACTTTTCACTGCAATGAATGAATATTCATTCATTTTCTGTAGTAGCAAAAGACTAGAGCAACCCATTAATTATGGGTTGAGTACACAGAGTGTATCAATAAATGAAACAATACAATTTCACGTATTTATTTATTTATTTTTATTTTTATTTTTTGGAGACAAAGTCTTGCTCTGTTGCCCAGGCTGGAGTGCAGTGGCATGATCTCAGCTCAGTGCAACCTCTGCCTCCTCGGTTCAAGCAATTCTTCTGCCTCCGCCTCCCAAGTAGCTGGGATTACAGGCATGTGCCACCAAATCCAGCTAATTTTTGTATTTTTAGTAGAGACGGGGTTTCACCATGAGAGCCAGGCTGGTCTCGAACTCTTCACCTCAGGTGATTCACCCATCTCAGCCTCCCTAAGTGCCAGGATTACAGGTGTGAGCCACTGCGCCTGGCCAACAATTTCATGTGTTTAAAAATTAGAAAGCTCTTTATGTAGTTATCTGGAATTATGCAAGAGACGGTTAGAAGAAAATATGTGAGAATTACTTGTTAACTAGTGTCAAGGGTAATGTTTCCAGGATAAAAAGTTCATATAAAATAAGAAAGGGGTTGTTAAAAATTGACCTAAAGAACTTTTGCATGATGAAAATAACGTAAGTCAAAATGCATATAATAAATCTGAAAAACATTAGTAACCTGTTCATAGATAATTGGTTAACATCAGGTATGTGTGTGTGTGTGTGTGTGTGTGTGTGTGTGTGTCTATATGCTTTTAAAAACAGTGAAGAAAATCTTACCAAAAAATAAAAACTAAGCAAAAGACATGAGTGGACATGAATTCCTGGGACATGATCAGATGGAGCAAAGAGAAAATGAATAGTAAGATGATAGATTTAAACTAAACTATATTAGTAATTATACTATATGTAAATAAACTAAATAAATAAAATACAGACATTATAAATATAAATCAAGACCTACATATGTACTAAAACATATACAATTCGAATAGATAGACACAGATATGCACAACACTAAACATAGTAAAGCTTGTGTGACTATATTCATTTCAAATAAAATATACTTGAAGAAACCGGAAATGCCAGAGAAAGAGACTTCCTAATGATAAAACTGTCAATTCATCAAAAAGTCACAGCAGTTCTAAATGTGCATTTATCTGTAGCAGCTTCAAAATGCGGTGAGCAATATCTGTCAGAACTAAATAAAAACCTGTATCAACACACATCATAGTTGGATGTTTCAATGCCATTATCTCAGTAATTAATGAAATACTAAAAAAACTGTAAGAATGTAAAAGATCTGAACAAGTCAAATTGACTGAACTGACATTTATAGAGTATTACACCACAAAATGGCAGAGTAAAAATGGCAGAGTTCTGGGAAATAAAAATAAATTTCAATATACTTTAAAATATTAAAGCCATACAAAAACAAATAAGAATAAAGGAGGTGGGAGGAAATTTGGGAGGTGATGGATATATTTATGTCTTTGAGGGTGATGATGGTTTCTGGATGTATATTTATCCAAACTCATCAGGATGTATACATTAAATATGTATTGCTTTTTATATGTCAATGATGCCTCAATAAAGTGGCTTAATTTTTTTAATTACAAAAACCCATATGAAATATCTTATGTGAGCACAATAGTATTATGATAAATTAGAAATCAGGGCCAGGTGCGGTGGCTCACACCTGTAATCACAGTACTTTGGGAGGCCAAGACAGGTGCATCACTGAGGTCAGGTGTTGAGACCAGCCTGGCCATCATGGCGAAATCCCATCTCTACTAAAAATACAAAAATTAGCTGGGTGTGGTGGCAGGCGCCTGTAATCCCAGCTACTCAGGAGGTTAAGGCAGGAGAATTGCTTGAACCCAGGAGGTGGAGGTTGCAGTGAGCCGAGGTCGTGCCACTGCACTCCAGCCTGGATGACAGAGCAAGACTCTGTTTCAAAAATAAATAGACAGATTAATAAATAAATAAGTTAGAAATCAGGTACTGAGAAAAATCACCAAACATTACAATTAAATTACACACTTCTAAATAATCCATGGTTACTAGAAGAAATTACAATGGACATCAGGAAACTTATTGAACTAAACAATTATGAAAACAAATGCCAAAAAATAGGAGATCTATCTAAGGAAGTACTGAATGAAAAATGCTTAAACAATAAATTATTAAACTTAATGATTCACTTAAGATGCTAGAAAAAGAAGAAATAAACTAAAAATAAATAGAAGTAATGCACTAGTAAAGAAAGGAAAAGAAGTCAGTAAAACAGGAAAAAAATAGAGAAAATTAAAACAAAAATTTGAACATTTAAAAAGAAATTAAAGTGAATAAATCCCTAAAAATAAAGCACAAATTATTAATACCTGGAATAAAATGGGGCATAAGTGCAATTCCCAGAGATATTAAAAATTATAATAAGATATTATGAGTAACTTTATGCCAATATATTAAATAACTGATAAAATAAATTTCTTGAAAGCCACAATTCATTAACCTGACATAGAAGAGAAAGCTAAGTAGCTCTATATATGTTAAAGAGAGTTCATAATGAAAAACCTTTCCAAAAAGAAAACTTCAAGACAATAGTGAATTCACTAGTGAATTCTTGAAGCATTTAAGAAAGAAATATCAATTTTGTAAAAGTATTTTTAGAAATAAAGAATGGATACTTTCTAACTTAAGTGACCAGTGTAACTTTGGTACCAATACATTACACAAAGTAAATATAGAGACCAATATTCTTCAAGAACAAGAGATGCAAAAATTTTTAATAAAATATATGGAAATAAATATACCAATATCATATATAATAAAATATATGAAAATATAGAGATCATATATAATATAAAATATATGAAAATAAATATAGAGATATATAAAATGTTTAAAATAAATATAGAAGGGCCGGGCGCCAGTGGCTCATGCCTGTAATCCCAGCACTTTGGGAGGCTGAGGCAGGCAGATCAGGTCAAGAGATCGAGACCATCTTGGCCAACACTGTGAAACTCCGTCTCTACTAAAAGTACAAAAATTAGCTGGGCATGGTGGTGCGCGCCTGTAGTCCCAGCTACTTGGGAGGCTGAGGCAGGAGAATGGCTTGAACCCGGGAGGCGGAGGTTGCAGTGAGCTGAGATCGCACCACTGCACTCCAGCCTGGACGACAGTGCGAGACTCTGTCTCAAAAATAATAATAATAATAAAATAAATAAATAGATATGTAAAAGGTATAATCTCTAAATATAGAGATATATAAAAGGTATAAGTATAGAGAAAATAAATATAGAGATATATAAAAGGTATAATATAACGATTTCTAATTTATTATAATACTGTTGTGCTCACATAAGATATTTCATGTGGGCTTTTTTTAATTAAAAAAATTTGGCTGGGCATGGTGGCTCATGCCTGTAATCCCAGCACTTTGGGAGGCCAACGTGGGTAGATCACGAGGTCAAGGAATCAAGACCATCCTGGCCAACATGGTGAAACCCCATCTCTACTAAAAATACAAAAATTAGCTGAGTGTGGTGGTGCGTGCCTGTTGTCCCAGCTACTCGGGAGGCTGAGGCAGGAGAATCGCTCGAACCTGGGAGGCAGAGGTTGCAGTACACTGAGATCGTGCCATTGCACTCCAGCCTGGCAACAGAGCGGTACTCCATCTCAAAAAAAAAAGAAAAAATATTTAAGCCACTTTATTGAGGCAAAATTGACATATAAAAAGCAGTATATATTTAACATATACATCCTGATGAGTTTGGGTAAGTATACATCCAGAAACCATCATCACCATCAAAGACATAAACATATGCAAAAGGTAAAAGATATATAAAGGTATATCATGACCAAGGGGGATTTATCCCAGGAATGCAATGTTGCTTTAGTATTTAAAAATAAATCCAAAGAATTAATCACATTTATAGAATAAAGGAGAAAAAGTACATGCTCAACTGAACTGTTGTACAAAGAAACATTTGATGAGATTCAATACCCATTAATGATAATAAACTTTCAAGCAAATACATTTCCCCAATATGATTTTTAAAAGTCTGCAAAGAAACCCAGTGCAGCTAATATTATAATTAATAATGAATTATTGTATATGTCCTTCCTAAAATTGGCAACAGGAGGAGGATTTCTATTCCCAATGCTTCTATTCCACATTGTATTGGAGCTCCTAGCCAGTGCAATGAGGAAAAAAGATGAAATAAAATACTAAGATAGTTTAGAAAGTAAGAAGACCATCTGCATTTGCAGATAGCTTGACTGTGTATATGAAAAACAAAGAAATCTACAAAAATCTACACGAACTAGTGAATGAATTAAACAAGTTTGGAGTATAAAAGTTCTGCATATAAAATCAATTGTGTTTTATTAAAGAGCAACAGCCAGCCAGGTGTGGTGACTCACGCCTGTAATCCCAGCACTTTGGGAGGCCGAGGCGGGCGGATCACAAGGTCAGGAGAGTGAGACCGTCCTGGCTAACACGCTGAAACCCCGTCTCTACTAAAAATACAAAAAATTAGCCGGGTGTGCTGGCGGGCGCCTGTAGTCCCAGCTGCTTGGGAGGCTGAGGCAGGAGAATGGCGGAACCCGCGAGGCGGAGCTTGCAGTGAGCCGAGATTGCGTCACTGCACTCCAGCCTGGGCGACAGAGCAGGACTCCGTCTCAAAAAAAAAAAAAAAGCAACACCCATTTGCAAAATGAAATAAATAGCATTGAAAGTATAAAACACTTAGGAATAAATTTAACAAATAACATGCAAAACACATACACTGAAAACTACAAACATTTCTCAGATAAAGACCACAAAATGGTGGGTGCGGTGGCTCACGCCTGTAATCCCAGCAATTTGGGAGGCCGAGGCAGGTGGATCACTTGAGGTCAGGAGTTCGAGACCAGTCTGGCCAACATGGTGAAACCCCGTCTCTACTAAAAATACAAAAATTAGGCGGGCATGGTGGCGGGCGCCTGTAATCTCAGCTACTCAGGAGGCTGAGGCAGGAGAATCGCGTGAACCCGGGAGGCAGAGGTTGCAGTGAGCCAACATCACGTCATTGCACTGCAGTCTGGGGGACAAGAGTGAAACTCTGTCTCAAAAAAATAACAACAACAACAACAACAACAAATCAATGGAAGGATACACTATTTACAAAGATCAGGTACTGGATATCGTTAAAATTTCAATTTGCACAAGGTCGATCTATAGATTCAATGTAATTTCTCATCAAAATCCCAACACGCATTTTTGTACAAATTAAGACATCGGTCCTAACATTTATATAAAGATTCAAAAACTTAGGATAGCTTCAGTAATCCCAACAGTGTGATAGTTGTCTGCTCATGCAAAGCCGACAAATGGAAAAATGGGACAGAAGAGAGAATCCACAGACTCACACATACATAGTTGGCTGTTTTTTGTTAAAAGTAGTAAGGCAATTGAATGGGGGAAATAAGATTCTTATCAATAATTTTTCTGGGGAAACTGAATAAACTTACAGAAAGAAATGGACCTGAACTACTGCTTCATACCATACTTAAAATTAGAGATTGATTAGAGACCTAAGCATAAAACATATGTCTTTTAAGTTTTGTTGGAAGAAAAACTTCAGGCAAATTAATTTGAACAGAATTTAACTGTGCAAAGAACGATTTGCAAATCAGGCAGCCCCTGAACCGACTCCCTTGCTGCTGCATGGTGGGAGAGGATTTATGGACAGAATAAAGAAAGTGATCTACAGAAAACAAAAGAGAGATACAGAATTGGACTGGTTACAGTTTGGCATGTGCCTTATTTGAACGTGGTTTGAACAGCTGGCAGCCTTTGGCACAAGAGTAGGTTACAACCTGTTCCAGTTCACTATGTATGGAGAGACCTTTTGATTCAAATTTAAAATACAAAAAGAGGTAGCTTTAGGCCCAACATAATTTAAGCACTTCTAAAAGGTAGAAGGGAAATAGCTTCATAACATTAAAAGAGCACTAACTGCTCAAAAATTATAAATAGGACTTGATGAAAATTTAAAAATCTTCTGTTCATCTAAAGGCAAAAGCACCATGAAGAAAATAAAAATGGGCCAGGTGTGGTGGCTCACATCTGTAATCTCAGCACTTTGGGAGGCCAAAGTGGGAGGATTACTTGACCCCAGGAGTTTAAGACCAGCTTGGCAACATAGAAAGACCTCATCTCTAAAAGCATAAAATAAAATAAATTTTAAAAGAAGAAAATAAAAATGCAAGTAACAGAGATAAAGAATACACTGTAGCTGCAATACTGATATATATATATACACACACATATATATATAGTTTTTTGTTTGTTTGTTTGTTTGTTTTTTAGACGGAGTTTTGCTCTTGTTGCCCAAGCTGGAGTGCAATGGCATGATCTCGGCTCACCACAACCTCTGCCTCCTGGGTTCAAGCGATTCTCCTGCCTCAGCCTCCCGAGTAGCTGGGATTACGGACTTGTGCCACCATGCCTGGCTAATTTTTTTTGTATTTTTAGTAGAGACGGGGTTTCTCCATATTGGTCAGGCTAGTCTCGAACTCCCATCCTCAGGTGATCCGCCCACCTCGGCCTTCCAAAGTGCTGGGATTACAGGCATGAGCCACTGTGCCTGGCCTGATATTTGTTAAATAATTTGTATCAAGAATCAAAAAATAAATTATCACTTAAAAAAGTCAGGTAACATTTGAGACTAATCATTCAGTGTTTAAAGACAAAAATGGAACATTTTAAATGTATGTACTATGAGCTCTTCAAAAGCGAAAAATTGTTCCAGTTTTTCTAACTTGAAATGAAAGTCACTGAAGTCTCTTACAGGGTAAATTATCATAGTGCTTTGGCTGGAGAAGCTCACACAGAAGCAGAAACAGTAAAAACTCTTCTTAAAATTTATTTTTCACAGCATGATTGAGTTACAATTGATACACAAGGAACTGCACATATTTAATGTGCACAGTTTCTCTTGAGTAGCTGACACTGCTGAATGCCGACTGGGTGAAACATCAGGCAAAATCAGGGCAGTGCCACTTCCGATGTTACTCTGACTCATCAAGTTAAAGACTCAACTGCAAACATATGGTTTGAGCTGGTATCTTGTTTATAGAATTTGACTTTCACCGAACAAATGAGCAAATCTACAGACCTGGCTGGACTTGTATCAGCACCCACTACTCTTCAAAGGATTTTTTTAAATGTGAATGCTCAGCAACAAATGTAAGTGGTGATAAATATTCAGAGTTGAATAACTTTATTGAATCTCATGGTTCTTCTGGAACAACTTTGTTTATATTTGCACTGTGGGTGCAAAAGCCATGACAGAAAATGGCTGGCACTAGGGCACAGATCAAGGCAGGGGAACCAGCACCAAATTAGTAGTGGTAGCATTCTTCCCTGCCACACACTGGGGGTTAAAAGAAAAAAAGGCAATTTCCCTTAAGAATGTCCTGGACGGCTGGGCACGGTGGCTCACGCCTGTAATCTTAGCACTTTGAGAGGCTGAGGCGGGTGGATCACAAGGTCAGGAGTTCAAGACCAGCCTGGACAAGATGGTGAAACCCCATCTCTACTAAAAATACAAAAATTAGCCGGGCGTGGTGGCAGACACCTGTAATCGCAGCTGCTGGGGTGGCTGAGGCAGAGAATTGCTTGAACCCGGGAGGCAGAGGTTGCAGTGAGCCAAGATCGCGCCACTGCACTCCAGCCTGGGTGACAGAGCAAGATTCCATCTCAAAAAAAAAAGAATGTCCTGAAAACGAGGCACTAAATATAGTTAACTTTATTAATCTTCTTCATCCTGCCCCTATAAAAAAATGCCTCTTTGGTATTCTGAGTGATGAAATGCATGGAGTCCACAAAGCATTGCTGTTCCGTGTTGTTGCATGATGGTTGTCTCAAGGCACAGCGCTCGGGAGGCTGCGCAGGACCAGCTGCATGGAACAGCATTTGGCTTGAAAGAATGATGGGTGGACAAACTGATTTTTCAGACTAGAATAGTTAGCAGAAGCTGTCTTGAAAATGAAGGATGCAAGTCCATTACTGTTGCCAGTAACAGAATTCATGTTTTCAAGCAAAAATTAGAACTTTGGAAAACTTTGGAATCATTAAGTATTCAGAAGGTGAGCTTCAAAAGTTCTGATTACTTAATGTTTCTAAGGAGATCGGTGGTGAAATGAATGAATGTGATTTATGGATAGTGTATGAAATGTCAATATTTGGAAATTCTGCATAGTTCAGTAATAAAATATTTTCAAATTTGTCACGGAAAATAGAGCCAAAGTGCAAGATAATCAATGGATATTAATGTACAAGTATACAAAAAGTTCACTGACAAGATTTCAGATTCCACATTGCAACTGACTTTCAAAAACTATCACTTGTTGAGTTTGGTCTGGCATCCGAGAGGGAAATCCTCAGGAAAGTCTGTTAAACTCCATTTTCCAACTAAAGGTCTATGTGAAGTGAGATTTTCTTCATATACCTCAATCAAAACCACATGTCAAAACATAATAGGCCAGGCGCAGTGGCTCATGCCTGTAATCCCAGCACTTTGGGAGGCTGAAGTGGGTAGATCACTTTGAGGCCAGGAGTTCGAGAACAGCCTGGCCAACACGGTGAAACCCCATCTCTACTAAAATATAAAAACTTAGCTGGGCATAGTGGCCCACACCTGTAATCCCAGCTACTCGGGAGGCTGAGGCACGAGAATCACTTGAACCCGGGAGGCAGGTGTTGCAGTGAACCGAGGAGGCACCACTGCACTCCAGCCTGGGTGAAGGGTGATACTCTGTCTCAAATGTTAATAATAATAGTAATGAATGCAGAAGTAGATATGAGAAGTCAACTATTTTCCATTGAAACAGACATTTAGGAGATGTGTAAGAATGTAAAATAACACAACTTGTCAATGCAATTTCTGTTTTGGGAAATATAGTTTTTTTCATTAAAAAAGGTAATTTTTGTAAATGTGATTTATTGTTATTTTGACTGAATTAACAAATATTTTTAAATTTAAAAAAGACAGGAAACCCAAATAAATGGGAAAATGGCTTGAACAGATCTTCACACAGGAATGGAAGTGTATGGAAAAGTGCCCAATGGTACCAATCATCAGGGAAACATATTAAACCACAGTGAGTGCCATGGTCACCCCGAAAAAGCAGGAGGGACCTCCACTCAAAATTTGGCCCAGATGTTGAGACTGACAATGCCACAAACACCAGGAGATACAAAAATGTTCACTGCCGACATAACTGAATTCTCTGGGGAGCCCAGGGCAGTCCTCTCCAGCAGATCCAAAATGACTTGAAGGAGCAAGAAAAAGAGACTGCCCCGGGATTTTACTGTGGTTAGGGGTGGTCTGGGATGAGAGGCCTCACATGAGGGCAAGGACTTGCATGGGCTGAATCTCCTTTCCGTGGGCACCAAAGGAAAGGAGTAGCAGCATTTCTTGTCTGCCCACATGTGGGGCACAGGGGGAAGAGGGAAGGGTGAGGCTGAAAAGCTGTCAGGAGTCAAACAGCAAAAAATGCAGTCAAAGTCCCCAGTGCAATGAGAAAGCACCACACACCCACTAGAAAGGCTGAGATGAAGGCCTGAGAACCCAGCACGCTGGAGATGACGTGGAACAACTGGAACTCTAAAGTCCTGCCTGGAGGAGGGTCACACAGCCACTTAGAAAACTTTTTACAGTTTCTTTAACACACACTTAATTCACAATAGAGCAATTCCACTTAGGTAATTCCTTTAGGTAATTCCTCACAGCAAAGTGAAAAAAAATCATAAAAATTCTTGTACTAGAATATTTATAGTTGCTCTTAGTAATAAGCAAAACTGGAAATAAACCATAAATTCATCAAGGGATAATGAATAAAGTGACTGTGGCATATTCCTACAATGGAATCCTACTCACCAATAAAAGAATACATTTACTTTACATGCAGGTGACCAAAAAAAAAAAAAAAACACATTGTGATACATGCAATAGCATGACTGACTACCAGAAATACTATGCCGAAAAAATAGGCCAGAATACTCAAGTACATACCGTGTATGACTTCATTTATATATAAAGTTCAAGAACAGTCAAATACACGGTCATAGAAATCGCAACAGCAGTATGATTTTTTGCATGGTGACTGACAGGGACACAAAGGAAATTTCTGTAGTAATGGAACTTTTCTATATTTTGAATGGATGTAAATATTTATCAAAACACACTGGAATGTATATTATGAACTTACTTTTCACAGAATGCAGATTTTACTATAATTATATTTTGTAAAAGGAATCCAGAAACAGAGAGAAGATACGTGTAATACATATATTCGATGATACTAATATCCAAAATATATAAAGAACTCCTAGAAATCAATTTAAAAAGACAAGATACCCAAAAAAAAATAGACAAAATACTTGAAAATCTATTTCACAAAAGAGGATATCCTAATCGTATAAAAAAGTCCTCAACATCCTTAGTCACCTGATAAATATAAATAAAACAATAATGCCACTATACACCTACCATAATGTCTCAAATTTAAAAGGCCTAAAATGCTGAGTTTAGCAAGAATTTGGATCAACTGGAACTGTCTTACATTGTTGGTAAAAGGATAAATTGTTTGAGTCACTTAAAAAATATTTTGGCAGTTCCTACTAAAGATAAACCCACACAAAAATATACACACATACGTGCACATCTTATGACCTAGCAAATCACTCTTAGGCATACACTGAAAGGAAGTGGGTACTTATGTCCAAGAGTCATGAACAATAATGTTCACAGTGGAGTTGTTCACAATAGCCCAAACCCCAGAATTATCAAATGCCTATCAAATCTAGAACAGGTATATGCATATTGGGGTATTCATACAACAGAATACTACACAGCAATAAAAATGAAGTACCGTGACATGCATCAAATGTCACCAAGGGCTTCCAGTTTCAATTAGAATACAAGAGATTCCTTGACCAAAACAAAGCCTGGTCGCGCCACCCCTCTCCTTCCTCTGTTCTGCTCCTGCACTCTAGCGACACTGTGCTTCCTGCCCTTTCTTGAACAAAAGAAGGTGTGCTGCTGAGAGACTAGTTTCTGAAAGGTCCTTTCCTGGACTTCTGACATGTCTGATTTTTCTCTCCTGAAACTCATCTTTGACTCAAGTACCCAATAATCCACCTCCCTAGTCACTCTCCGTATCCTTACTCTAATTTCCCACATCAATTGTTATGCACTGGATTACCTCGTTAATCTATTTATTGATTTGTTTACTTATTAACGCCTTCCCTCAACTAGAATGTAAGCTATTTGAAGAAAGGAGTCTTTCCTTTTCTTTCTTTTTTTTTTTTTTTGAGATAGAGTTTCCCTCCATTGCCCAGGCTGGAGTGCAGTGGCTCACTGCAACCTCCTCTTCCTGGGTTCAAGTGATTCTCCTGCCTCAGCCTCCACAGTAGCTGGGATTATAAGTGCTCGCCACCACACCCAGCTAATTTTTTTGTCTTTTTAGTAGAGACGGGGTTTCACCATGTTGGCTAGGCTGGTCTCAAACTCCTGACCTCAAGTGATCCGCCTGCCTCAGCCTCCCAAAGTGCTGGGATTACAGTCATGAGCCACTGCACCCAGCAAAGAAAGGAGTCTTATATGTCTCTTTAATTACCCAAAATAGTCCCAGCTAGATTTAAAGCCTATTAAATATTTGCTCAATAAATCTGTGGTTCAAGGGCTTACGTGTTATATCACTAAAATATTAGTTATAATAGAATGTTATATATCCATCAAGAGTGATTTTAAATATTTAGTTAATATGAATAAATTTTCTTCGGAGAAAAGAAAGTTAAAATGAAAATTTAAAATTGTATACTTAGCATTAGAAAAACTGTGCTGAACAAGGTAATGTATACAGAGCAGTTACTGTAGTGCAGATATTGTACAAATTTCTTGAAATATATGCATATTTGTCCAGCATTGTGTTAGGTCCTGAATAATTAGTTTAAAAAATCCCTATCTCTACGTAGTTAATATTTTATTGGGGGGGAGTGAAAAGATAGACTAGTAACAAGTAAGGAAACATAGAACAAAGTTGTGATAAATATGAAAATATTATATGAAGCAATGGAAAGGACTAGAAGAATCAACTTTAGACAAGGGCCTGGGGAAAACCTCTCTGAGTGGGTGATATTTGAGCTGACTCCTGAAAACTGAGGACAATTCCACGATGTGTGCGTGAATTTCTGGGCAGAAATCTGAGCAGTCTGTGTCTGAAAGGGACCAGAAACAACACAGCAGAATGTGTGAGAATTTAGCACTGGTCTGAACTCACACAGGTGTGAGATGAGGCTCTGGGAAGCAGGCAAGTGGGGAAAGCATGAGCATCACTGCAAAGCATTTAAAGATCAAGGGAGAGCTGAACCACAGCCCAAAAAGTGCACTGAGCTGTATTATGGACCTAAGCACTCTCTGTTGTTGTCTGAGGACTCTCTGTTGAAATAGCAGGTGTGAAGAGTATCCAGTCTCGTGATGTATGATAATACTCAGCACATTCAGGATACAGTCCAAAGCTATTCATTATACCAAGGACTATAAAACAATAAACTTGCACAAGAAAATACAATCTTTAGGTCCCAACACTGAGATGAGACAGATGTTGGTATTACGTGATGAGGATTTTAAAGTAGCTATCACAACAGTGCTCCAACAAGCAATTACAGGCATACTTGGAACAAGGGGAAAATACGAATTCATGGCAAAGAAATGAAAGATACCAGGAAGAACTAAATGAAAATTTTAGAAGTGAAAAAAATAATAGAAATAAATTGCACTGGACAGACTCAAGAGAATGGAGATGACAGAGGAAAGATCAGGGATCTTGAAGACAAGTTTAATAGAAATTGTCCTGTTAGAATAGAGGAGACAAAACACAATGGAGAAAAGTGAATGTAGTCTCAGAGACCTGTGGGAAAATAACAAAAGGTCTAACTTTCAAATGATTGGCTCCCAGACGGAGAAAAGAAAGGAGTACCTGCCGGGCGCAGTGGCTCATGCCTGTAATCCCAGTACTTTGGAAGGCCGAGGCAGGTGGATCGCTTGAGGTCAGGAGTTTGAGACCAGCCTGGCCAACATGGTGAAATCCCGTCTCTACTAAAATACAAAAATTAGCCAGGCATGGTGGCAGGTGACTGTAATCCCAGCTACTTGGGAGGCTGAGGCAGGAGAATCACTTGATCCCGGGAGGCAGAGGTTGCAGTGAGCTGAGATCATGCCACTGCACTCCAACCTGGGCGACAGAGGAAAACTCCGTCTCAAAAAAAAAAAAAAAAAAAAAGGACAGGACTGACTGAAAACATTTTTGAACAAATAATGGCAAAAAACATCACAAACATGGTGAAATACATAAATTCAAGGAGATAAGATAACCACTAAGGGGTCGTGTCCAAATGAATCCATGTCCAGATACACCATGACCAGATTTCCGAAAACTCGAAAAAACCAAAGAGAAATGCTCTATTCTCTATATGAGGACAATTCCCGTGACATCAGAAACCATGGATGCCAGAAAGAAACTTCCATAAGGTGTTTATTTAAAACTACTCAAATTCACTAGGATTATAACCAGGCTCTGTTACTTACCCACTGTAGACTTCAAGCAATATTCTGAATCAGAATTTCATTTTCTTTATCTTTAAGAGGGGGACTATAATTACAGCTACTGTAATAGATGTGTGAGAATTGATATAGTACTATATACATAAAATGCCAAAGAGCGTGTCTGGCTAAGACATGTTAGCTAATATACCATCATGATCCTCAACAACCACAAAATAACAGTAACTTAATACACTGTTATAATTCACTGGAGCACGTCCCTGTTTTGTGCATTCCTCACGCACAGAGACTTGGAAAGGGGAGGCTCTTACCAAAGGGAAGTCTGCTGTTCTGCAGCCGCCTCCTCACACACACAGAGCCTTTGAGAGCAGGGGCCTGGAGGGGAATAACAGAGAAGGTCCCCAGATATAGGGAAGGATCCTGGAACTGACCTCCCCACACCAGCTGTCATTATCATCGCAACTGCAGTCTCAGTGACACTGTCTGCAAAGGGGTGTCTGACAAGGTCCCAACAATTAAGGCCCTGTCAATGAAGTGAAGTTTTCCCACTGACCCACCTGGAGTAACCTGAAAGGCACAGTGTCGGCATCTGCTCAGCACAGGATCAGCCTCTGCTCAGCATGCCTCCTGGGACCAGGCCCTTCACCATTGGGCTCTATGGGCTCTAAATGGAACCTAAGAGATGATCTGTTCCCAGCATTAACATTTACGAATGAAAAAACTGAAATTTATGGATAACGAGGAAAGTTTCTGCAGCCATTTGTGGCAAATCTAGCAGTGAAGAGTCTTCCAGTTGCCACCCCTCATGTCCCTCTTGTTTTCATCGCTCTCCACAGAGAAGAGAAACACACTAGGGGGAAAGCCCCTCTGCTTCCCCATCATGCCCACTTTCATCCCAAACCTCTGTGTGTTTTCATTCTCCCCAATTCAGAGACCTTCACTGAAATTTAAAATGCTCCTTCAGGCGGGGTGTGGTGGCTCACGTCTGTAATCCTAGCACTTTGGGAGACCGAGGTGGGTGGATCACTTGACGCCAGGAGTTCGAGACCAGCCTGGCCAACATGGTTGAAACCCTGTCTCTACTAAAAATACAAAAATTAGCCAAGTGTGGTGGCACACACCTGTAATCTCAGCTACTCAGGAGGCTAAGGCAGGAGAATTGCTTGAACCCGGAAGGTGGAGGCTGCAGTGAGCTGAGATTGAGCCACTGAACTCCAGCCTGGGCAATAGAGCAAGACTCCGTCTCAAAAAAATAAAAAACAATAAAAAATAACATAAAAATAAATAAAATGCTCCTTCAAAGATCAAAGCACAACAGGCACTCCCATAACTGAGGAACAAAAAAGTAGGGAAGAAGTGTTCATGCTAATGATTAGGGAATATTCAGAGGAAGGATTCTACCCAAATAGGAATGCAACTATGATGTTTTAGAAACAGAGAGAAATACATATAAACCAGATAAAAGAACCCATGAACTTAGGAAATGACATAAAGAAAACTTTAAAATCCTAGAAAAAATATGAGGGTGATGGGAAAAAGAATTAAGTATTCAAAAGCTGCTAAATGTTACAAATTCAATTTATTGATAGAATTGTAATCAAGGAACAAATATGTTATAAAAAAGATATTCTGAAATTCATTTAGAGTAATAAATAGGAAAGTATAATCAATAAGTTATGTTGGAAAAGTTCATCATGAAAAGATGAAAAGTTCATTCATGAACTTTCGTATATGCAATGCATTTCATGTAGTAATAAAAAAGATAAATAATTAAGTTACGAGCATAGAAATAACCTGATAAATAAAAGAAATAGAACACAGAGAAAAGAAAATCATTATATTATAAATAAAAATAAAGTACCTGATAATTTGATGCTATAAATTTGGTGGAAAATTTAGAATAATTTACTGAACGGTGTTGTGGAAACTAGGTAATTATTTGGAGGCTATAAAGTTGTTTGACAATTTTTACACACAAACAAAATAAGTTCTAAACAGCTGGACAATTAATTATGTTATAATAGAAATTTCATGTTTTTTGAGAGGTCTTAGGATTTCTTAAGCAAATCAAAAAAGGAAAGAAAGAGGCCACGCGTGGTGGCTCACGCCTATAATCCCAGCACTTTGGGAGGCTGAGTCAGGCGGATCACTTGAGGCCAGGAGTTCGAGACCAGCCTGATCAACATGGTGAAACCTGGTCTCCACTAAAAATACAAAAATTAACCAGGCGTGGTGGTGCACTTCTGTAATCCCAGCTACTCTTGAGGCTGAGGCAGAAGAATCGCTTGAACCTGGGAGGCAGAGGTTGCAGTGAGCTGAGATCGTGCCACTGCACTCCAGCCTGGGAAACAGAGTAAGACTCTCTCAAATTAAAAAAAAAAAGAAAAATTAAATGAATTAAATTAAAATAATTAGAAATTCTTCATGCATAGCACAGCATAGTTTAAAAAAAAAAAAAACTAGAAAAATATTTAAAAATACATGAGAAATACAAGGTTAAATTATTACATGGACCGTTTATAAATCAATGGCTAAAGACAGGATTCACAGAAATAAAAAATGAGGAATATATGAAATTACTTGCAATGTCATGTTGAAATGAGAACATTTTGTAACACTTTATGCCTATCAAATTGGCGAGGTAACATTTTAATTTACAAATCTGCTGTTGTAAAAATATAGCAATAAAATTATACTTTTTTCTTTTACTATTGGTGATTCACTTGTTGTGGAGTGCAACTTGGCTACAGGCTTCAATATTCTTAAAGTGTTTTATACCCGCTGATCCCCCAAATTCAAGTACTAAAATGTAATTGCCGATGTGATAGAATTAAGAAGTTGGGCCTTCAGGGAGTGATTAAGTCATGAGGGTGGAGCCCTCATGGATGGGTTTTGGGCCTTTATAAAAAGACTTGAAAGGGTGAGTTTGTCCCGTTCCATCCTTTCCACCATGTGAGGACACAGTGTTATGCTCCTCTGGAGGATGGAGCAAAAAGGCACCATCTTGGAAACAGAGAACAGCCCTCACCAGACATCAGTCCTGTTGGTACCTTGATCTTGGACGTCCCAGCCTTTAGAACCATGAGAAATCAATTTCTATTGTTTATAAATTGCCCGGTCTGTGGTATTTCGTTTTGGCAGCAGAAATGGACTAAGACAATCCCCCAAATTGTTTTTTAATATTCCAAGAAATAATCAGAAGCACAAATAATGACTTAAAATAACTTGATAATTCTATTTTGATGAAAATAATAGGCAACACACAAAATAGGGACATGGTGTAATGAGCTATAATAGTATATTATGTTGCTATTATTTTTTGTTATTGTTGATGATGACGATGATATATTAGCTTGCAAATTTTGTTCAGTGCTGGGAATTGTTTTCAGCATTTTATACATAATAGGATGTCAGTTCTCATACACCCAATGAAGTAGATATAAACCCCTTTAAGGATCAAGGAAATGAAACTCAGGGTGCTTAAGACTATTCCTTAAAATCACATAGAATGTAAAATGATAGAGGCTGGATACAATCACAATCATTTTGACTGTTGTTTGTTGAATGCTTTTTGTATAAAATTTTTCAAAAACCAGAAATGCAGAAAAAATAAGAAGGTATGAACCAGGCGGCGGCTCGCGGAGGCGCTTCTCTGAGCATGACGCGCGGACTCCGCTCCCGCAGCCCGCCCGCCCGCCGGTCTAGCAGCCGCCTCCCTCGCTTCTTGCGCCCGCCAAGCGAAGGCCAGTGGCCGCAGCGACGCGGCGCGGAGAGGTGGTGGGTGCTCTATATGGCGGCGGATCTGTCGGGCCTGGCTGTCCGGCTCTAGGGCTCGGCCGCCGCCCGCCCCCGTGGGGTCTTCTGCAAGGGGCTGACTCGCAAGCTGCTGTCTTCTTCGATCTGGCCTGGCGGCTGCGCATCAACTTCCCCTACCTCTACATGGTGGCTTCCATGATGCTCAACGTCCGCCTGCAGGTTCATATTGAGATCCACTGAAGGCCCTCCCGGACTGACGAAGGCGTGACCTCAGGCCCACCGCATCCAAAAACACGAAGCATGAGGGACAGAAGAGGGCCCCTTGGCACCTGCCTGGCTCAAGTACAGTGGGCCGGAGGAGGTGACTCGGACAAACTATCATACAGCCTTAAGAAAAGAATGCCGACGGAGGGCCCTTGGCCTGCAGATGCACCCTCCTGGATGAATAAGCCTGCGGTTGATGGAAATTCACAGAGTGAGGCATTATCACTGGAAATGGCTGGCCTCTCGCTTCCCAGTGGCGGCCCAGTTCTTCCATATGTGAAAGAATCAGCAAGAAGAAATCCAGCCTCAGCAGCTACTCCGAGCGCAGCCGTGGGTTTGTTCCCTGCTCCAACAGAGTATTTTGCTCGGGTGTCCTGCAGTGGTGTTGAAGCTCTGGGGCGGGACTGGCTGGGAGGAGGGCCCAGGGCCACCCACGGCCACAGAGGACAGTGCCCCAAAGGAGAGCCTCGGGTGTCACGACTGACACGCCATCAAAAACTGCCGGAAATGGGAAGTTTTTGGGATGACCCACCAAGTGCTTTTCCCAGTGGTCTGGGCTCTGAGTTGGAACCCTCTTGCCTGCATTCCATCCTGTCTGCAACACTGCACGCGTGCCCCGAAGTGCTCCTGAAAGATGAGACGAAACGCATTTTCCTTGACCTTTTAAACCCCATGTTTTCAAAGCAAACAATAGAATTCAAGAAAATGTTTAAAAGCACCTCAGATGGTCTGCAGATAACACTGGGGTTACTGGCGCTGCAACATTTTGAATTAGCAAATTCATTATGCCATAGTTTAAAGTACAAGCAGAACAATGCAAGTAGATTAATTTTAAGAGTTGTCTTAGAATGATTTCTTTCGCATTAAGTCTGGATGCAAACTATGCAGCCCTTAGGTTCCTGGTGTGGTTTGTACGACCTGGCAGACTTAGTTGAGTTTGAATTCAAAGCCGGTTGATGCGGAAGGAAATTTTTTAGCATGTGTTAAATTGTGCTTTAAAAGACATATAAAAAATTGGGAAACATTTCAGGAGACGATCATAGCCTGTATAAATATCAGATTAGAACATACGGATTTACCATGAAGTTCTGTCTTCAACACCCAACACTGTCTAAAGGGCTACTGTCCCAAATCCTGTGTGTCCCTTCGGCTTGTCTGATCACCCAATGGAAGTGGATACTTGTGAAGTCTACACTGCTGTACTTGGCGTTAAATCTTGCTGAATTCATGGTAAGCTATTATCATTTCTACATTTTGTAGAATGATTTTGGTCTGCAGCAAAATTCTATTTCACTTCTCACACCTCTTTCCTTCCACTTGAAATGCAATTTAGACAGAGGCATTGTGGTGAAAGTTGCAATATTAAACTTACCTTTAGAAGATCCCTTCTCAAACTCGGAACCCTAGCAGTGTTACCTTAAAAATGAGCTAGAGAAAAAAATAGCTCAGTTACAGAGAAGCAAATCAAGTTATTTCCCACATAAAAAGTTTCCCAGATTCTAGGAATTGCAGTATCTTGTACCCTAAAGTTTTTCCAGGTGACTCCTTTGGTTGTCTGTTGATAACTTTGATAAAGGTCATTTAAGGGCATAAGGTTTTAAAGACTCCCAAAGTGAGACTTAACCATTTTCGGGATTAGTGATTGCATATACCAGTTTATGTTGTGTGCTGAATTACTATGCCATGTGCTATTTTAGTGTTTGGGGAAAATGAAAAATAAAATTTGTTCTTTAGCGTAATAAATATGTCTTATTAAAAATACAATGAACTGAATGACAATGAAAATGCAACACATCAACATTTGTGGGCATGTATAAAGCAGGGCTGAGAGAGAAATTCATAGAACTAAATGCATAAATTAGATGATGAGATAATTATCAAGCCAATAATTTAAGCTCCCACTTGAAGTACATAGAAAATAAGAGAAAAAACCCACTCAAAATTAGAAGGAAGGAAATAATGACTACAATAGCAGAAATCAATAAAATTTAAAACAGAAAAACAATAAAGAAAACCAATGAAACAAAGAGCTGGTTCTTTAAAAAGATCTATAAAATTCACAAACATCTAGCAAGAGTGACAAAGCAAAAAGGAGAGAATTATAGATTATAAATATTAGGCATGAAACAGAAGGTATCACTAAAGACCTTGTAGATGTTGAAAGGATAATAAATGAATACTACAAACAACTCTAAACACATACGTTTGTCAACTTAAATGAAATAGACCACTTTCTTGAAAAGCATAAACTACCACAACTTATCAATATAAAACAAATAATGCAAAGAGCCCCACATAAGATCTCCAGGCTCAGATGGTTTCACTGGAAAATTCTGCCCAAAGCTTAAAGAATAATAAATACCAATTCTATATAACCTCTTCCAGAAAAAAGAAATACAAGGGGATATTTCTCAAGTTATTTTATTTATTTATTTATTTATTTATTTATTTATTTATTTATTATTTTTACCACTATCAGAATAATCACATTTATTTACTTACTGTCTTATTCCACCATTTATATGTAAATTCTATGGGTAAGGGCCTGCTCTTACATCCCACACCTCTAGGTCTACAGAGCCTAGAGGCATGAGGTGTAAGGAAAGCACTCCTTGACCCTCCCTGGCCAGGCCACATGAGTTCTGGATCTGAATTTAGAGCCACAGGCTTTAAGCAGTAAAATAAACCTGAGGTTTTCTAGAGGCATTGAACTTTCTCCTTTTATAGACAAGATGTGCCTAAGAATGGAGAGTGGCTTCCTGTAGTAACCCAGCCACTCAATAGAGACTAAGCCCACAATGACCTGAGTCAAAAAGTCTGCAACCTTTTCCCCCCAAATCCCACCTTCTCTTTCTCTCAACTCATTTTTAAAAGCTAGTATTACCTTGATACCAAAAACAAAGACAGTTGAAAAACAAAACAAAACAGGAACTACAGACCAATATCCCTCATAAATATAGACACAGAATTAAGCAATATGTAAAAAGAATTATATACTATGAGCAAGTAGGGTTTATTCCTGGAAAGCAAGGCTTGTTCCATATGTGAAAATCAATGTAACCTACCATATTAACAAGATGAAGAAGAGAATCACATAATCGTATCAATTGATGCAGAAAAATCATTTGACAAAATGCATGATAAAAACTCTGAGAAATGCCAGGTGGGGTGGCTCACACCTGTAATCCGAGCACTTTGGGAGGTGAGGTGGGTGGATCACATGAGGCCAGGAGTTTGAGACCTGCCTGGCCAACATGGCGATACCCTGTCTCTACTAAAAATACGAAAAAATTAGCCAGGTGTGGTGATGCATGCCAGCTACTTGGGAGGCTGAGGCATGAGAATCACTTGCACTTGGGAGATGGAGGTTGCATTGAGCTGAGATTGAGCCACTGCACTCCAGCCTGGGTGACAGAGTGAGACTGTCTGACAAAAAAAAAAAAAAAAAACTCTGAGAAAAATAAGAATAGAGAGAAACTTCCTTAATTTGATAAAGAACTTTTACAAAAACTCCAACACTTAACATTATACTTAATGGTCAAAGAAAGAATGTTTTTCTCCTAAGAAAGGGAATAAAGCAAAGATATCTGCTCTTACTACTCTAATTCAATATCGCACTGGAAGTTTTAGCCAGTTTAGTAAAGCATTTAAAAAAAGGCATATTGATCGGAAAGGAAGAAATAAAACTGCTCACTTTTGCCGATAGCATGATGGCTATGTGGAAAATCCAAAGAAATCTATTTTAAACCACCAAAATCAACAACTCCTAGAACTAGTAAGTGAATTCAGCAAGGTTGCAGGATACAACATAAATATACAAAAAAATCAAGTGTACTTTGAGTGATGAACACTTGGATATAAAAATTAAAAATACAATAAGTACCATTTATAATTGCTCAAAAAAGGAAATACTCATTTCAAATTCTAACAAAACATTCATAAGACTTGAATGCTAAACATTAGAAATTCTGATGAAAGAAATCAAAGATCTAAACAAATATCGAGACAAATCATGTTCTTCAATTTGGAGACTCAAAATAGCAAAGATGTTAATTCTTCCCAAACTCATATATACAATTCCTATAAAAATTTCAGCAATATTTTTTTGTAGATGAATAGAAGATTATTTTAAAATTGTCATGGAGATGCAAGGGAACTAAAATAGCTAAAACATTTTTGAAAAAGAATTACCAAGTTGGAAGAATCAATCTATCCCATTACAAGACTTGTTGTGTAGCTATTGTAATCAACAGCACGTGGTATTGGTAGAGTGAAAGATACACAGACAAATTAAACAGAACAGAGAACTCATACCCACATAAATATAACTGACAGGTTATTGACAAAAGCATAAAAGTAATGCAGTGTGGGGAAAGGAATTTTTTCAACAAATATTGCTGGAGAATTTGCATATCCATAAGCAAAGTTGAATGGTGACATGAACCTAACACTCCATACATGAATTAATTCAAAATAGACCATGGACTTACATGTAAAACTACAAATCTTTTAGAAAAATACATTAAAACCCTTCAGGACCTAGGGCCAGGCAAAGAATATTTTAAACTTTACAACAAAAGCATCATCAATAAAAGTAAAAATTGATAAACCAGATGCTATCAAAATTAAAGAAAAAAATTTTGTTCTGTGAATGACCTTGCTAAGAGTATGAAAAAACAAACTACCAACTAGGACAAAATGTTTTGAAAGCATACAATAGACAAAGGATTAGTATCTAAATTACATAAAGAACTCTCAAAACTCAATAGTAAAATAAACAAACAGAAAATGGGCAAATGATATGAACACGCATTTCACCAAAAAGCACAGATGGATGTCAAATAAGCACAAGGAAGGACATTTAACATCATTTGCTATTATGAAAATAAAAATTAAAATTATGATGAGCTATTACTATACACATATGACAATGGTTAAATAAAAAATAGTGACAACTCCAAATGCTAGTGAGGATGAAGGGAAATTCTTCCCCTTATTTACTGTTAATGGGAATGTAAAATGGTACAGCCACTCTGGCAAAAAGTTTGGCAATTAAAAAAAATGACACTGGCAGTGCCATACAACTCAGCAACTGCATCCTTGGGCATTTGTCCCAGAGAAATGAAGACTTGGGTTTACACAAAAACCTGCACATAAATGTTTAGAGCAAGTTTATTCGTAGTGGCCCCAACTGGAAACAACCTACATGTCCTTCAGTTCGTGAATGATTAAACAGTCTGTGGTACATCCATAGCACAGAATACTCTTCAGCAATAAAAAGGAATACACTATTGATATGCACAACATCCTGGATGAATCTTCAGAGAATTACAGAGTGAAAAAAGCCAATGCTGAAAGGCTACAGAATGCATAATTCTGTTGATATAACATTCTTGACATGACAAAACTATAGAAATGGAGAATAGATTCAGTGGTTGTCAGAGATGAAGGAGGGACTGGGGGCAGGAGGGAGGTGGGTGTAGCTAGAAAAGGAAAACTTGAGGGGGCTTTTGCAGTGAAGGTAATGCGTCTTGACTGCATCAATGCTAATATCCTGGTTGTGATATTGCAATATAGCTTTGCAAGATATTATTGTTGGGAGAAACTGAGTAAATGGAATGCAGATCTGTGTAAATAATATCTTAAAATTATTTGTGAATCTACAAGTATCTCAAAATTAAAATTTAACAATACATATGTTCTACCTCTATCCACTGAATATTCCAGGAAACAAAAATCTAGAAGCAACAAGCACTCCTGTTGTCTACATTGTGGACTCTAAATGTCACTTCCACCTAAAAGGAACTAGGGATCCTTAGAGAAATGGCTTGTTCCCTACCTGGTGCAGGAAATGTACCAGATGAGCCTGGAGCATCTTGTTATAACAGATGCCAAGGAGCCATCAGGGACTACTGGGCACACGTGTAAAGGGTCCAGACGCCAACATGAAGAGGCTCTCATTGGCCAAATATGGGATAATTTGAGCTATAAAATAATAACTGGAATGTTTTGAAACATATCAAATATTTGAAAAACTCAAGACTTTATAATAATATTAAGAATGCTCATTAAGCAGGATGTGGTGGCTCGCACCTGTAATCCCAGCACTTTGGGAGGCCAAGGCTGGAGGATTGCTTGAGGCCAGGAGTTTGAGACCAGACTGGGCAACATGGTGAGACTTTGACTCTAGAAAAAATAAAAAAGTCAGCTGGGCATGGTGGCACATGCCTGTAATACCAGCTACTTGGCTGAGGTGGGAGGATAATTTGAGCCCAAAACTTCGAGGCTGCAGTAAGCGGTAATTGTGCCACTGCACTCCAGCCTGGGCGACAGAGCCAGACCCTGTCTGTCTAAAAAAAAAAGCCCCATTTGTTTCCTTTGGTGGATGCTAGGGAACCAACTGATTGCTATGACAATTGGTAAATGAAGGAAAAGAATCAAGCAGTGATCCTACATTTCCTGCACAAACAATACTGAAGACTCCAGTGATGAGGGGAGGCTGCTGCACATAGAGTCACCTCTGCCCTGACCTCCACGCTTTGGCTGTTCAATCTATTCTCAGCGCTTCAGGAGATGTTCCTGTTAGACAAAAGTCAGATCGTGTGACTCCTCCACTCAAATCTGCCAATGGCATCCCGGTTCACTCATAACATGGACCCAAGCCCTTACATGAGCAAAAGGGTCAACACCATCTGTCCCCACTGCCTCCTAACGCGGGCCCCTCCCTCACTCTCATTAGCCATCCTGGCCTATTGCTCTTTCTCACACTCAGCACATGCGGGCCCCAGGGCCTGTGCACTTGCAGAGCCTTTCCCAGATTCCCCTGTGGCTGTGCCTTCCTCACTTACCCAGCGCTTGGCTCAAGGGTATCCTTATTAGAGAGGATTCCTGTTTTGTGTATCCACTTGTGGTCCCAAACCTCACATGGTTCCATCTGATTCTACAGATCGCATGCTTCTCCACTAAGCTGGACTGTGTCAGGGACTAAGTGGAGGGCAAAAAGAAGAAAAAGACATAGTCCCTGCCCTGCACGATCTTCAATTTATAGCAGAAAGCCAGGAACACACACACACACACACACACACACACACACACACACACAGCCTGCTCAAAGTGAGTCTGCCCTGGAACGTGGGAAGCTGGCCTAGCTCTGCACAAGAAGGGAACCCTGTATAAACTGACTTAGCAGAGAAGGTCATCCCAGAGGAAATGAACCCTGTGCGCTGAGCTCTGAAGAGCAGGAGGGCTGGGGTGGTACAGGGGATGGTGGTGTTTGTGGGACTGAAAGTAAGATTATCTGGAATTATCTGGGTGGGTCCAATCTAATCCCAGAAGCCCTTAAAAGCAAAGAACTTAGCCTGGAAGGAGAAGACAGTTGCATGCATGTACTACAGTTTGGTTATTTACTTCCCAGTAGATGGACATTTGGGTTGCTTCTAGTTTGGGGCTGCTGTAAACACTTTTGCGCAAGGCTTTTTGTGGACATGTGTTTGCATTTCTGTAGATGCTGTGGTGAAAAGGAAGAGGTATGTATAAATGTTTTAAGAAACTTGCAAACAGTCTTCCAAAATGGTTGTATCATTTTACACCATACAGTAATGTATGAGAGGTGCTGTTGCATTAGCAATGATTAGCCTTTTTCATTTTAGCAATTCTGGTAGGTCTGTATTCGTGTCAGGGGGCAATTTTGATCTGCACTTCCTTGATGATTAATGACGCTGGGCATCTTTTAATGTGCTGATCTGCCATATATCTTATTTTGTAAATTGTCAGTTCAAAGCTTTTGTGCATTTTAAAATTTGGATGTTAGTCTTTTTATTATTGAATTGTAGCAACTTTTAGAAAATATATTCTTAACATAAGTCCCTTGACAGATACATATGAATATTTTCTGTCAGTCTGAGATTTGCCTGTTTCTTAAGAATGTCTTTTGATGGTCAGAAGATTTAAATTTTAATGAACTCAAATTTTTCAAAACAATGTGGCCAGTGCTTTCTGTCAATTCCTTAACAAATTTATGTCCACCCCCAAAGTCATAAAGATATTCTCCTAGTTTTTCTTCTAAAAGCTTTCTAGTTTTACTTTATTTATGAGTAGGCCTGTGATCCCTTTTGGAATAATTTTTATATAGGGTGTGAAGTAAGAGTTGAGGTTTGTTTCCCCCTCATATGGATATCTACTTGTTTCCACATCATTTTTTGAAAAAAATTGTTTTCTTTTCGTATTGAATTGCTTTTGGGTTTTTGTTGAAAAAATCATTTGACCATATATACATGCGTTTATTCCTGGAATCTTTTTTATTGATTTATTGTGTTGTCTTCACCACTACATTATAATCTTGAAGACTGTGAGTTTATTCTAAATCTTGAAGTCAGGTAGTTTAAGTCCTCTAAATTTCTTCATTTTCAAAATTCTTTGGGCTATTCTAGGTTGCTTTTCCATATATATCTTATATATTCTAGATTGAATTTCCATATATATTTTTAAATCAGCTTGTTAGTTTCTATTTTTAACAACCAACTAGAATTTGGAATGGTATTCCATTGCATCTATAGATATATTTGGAAAGAAGTCATCTGTTAACAGTAGTTTTGTTTTTCTCAGCAAAGTTTTAGTTTTCATTAGTTTTCTTACACACTTTTGTTAAATGTATCCCTATGATTTTGGATGCTATTATAAAAGGTATTTAAAATGTTTAATCTTCAAATCCTACATAATTATGCATGAATGTACTATGGGTAACTTTGGGTTTAACCAACATGGATTCACAGAACTTTTTGGATTTGTATATTTACATCTTTCCTCCAATTTGTGAGGTTTTTGGCCACTACATCTTCAAATAATTTTTCCGCCCTTTTCTCTTTCTTTTGTCTGGGGCCTTCTATAATGTATATGTGTTTGGTATATGGTGTCCCATAGTCTCTTAGGCTCTGTTTACTTTTCCTCACTCTTTTCTTTTGCTCCTTAACTTGATAGTTTCAATGGACTTATCTTCACGTTTGCTAATTCCTTCTTCTGCCTTTTCAAGTCTGCTTTTGTATCCTTCTAGTCAATTTTTCTATTAGGTTACTCTATTTTTCAGCTCCAGAGTTTCTATTTGGTTCTCTTTACAATTCCAATCTCTTTGTTGATATTCTTATTTGTTTATATATTGTTTTCCTGATTTCCTTTACTTCCTTGTCTGTGTTTTCCTTTAGCCCTTTAAGCATATTTAAGACAGCTGCTTTGAAATCTTGATCTAGTAAGTCTGAGACCTGTGTTTTTTCAAAGATGAGTCTGGATATTCATTTTCTTCCTTTGAATGGGCTATGCATGTTTTCCTATTTCCTTACATGCCTTGTAAGTTTTTGTTGAAAACTGCAATTTGGATTAAATGGCCACCTCTCCCAATCTTTGAAGAATGGCTCTGCGCAGAGGAAGACCTTTGTTAATCACTCTAGTGTAAAGATTTAAGGTCTTTTGGACATAAACCTTCCATGGGCCTATGTGTGTGCTATTTTTCCAAATACCCCACATAGACAGCTGTTATTAATGTCTTAATTTCCCTAGGAGATTCACTCCTGCCTCTTCTAGAGGCCTCAGCATTCTATTGCATTTTTTAATCAAAAACCTCTTTCCGCTGGCATCCCTGGTTCTGTAGCTTGGTACATTTTTCACAAGCCATACTCACTGCTTCTTGCAGATTCCACTACCCTGAGATTTGAGCTAGTCACTTTTGCCATCTGAGTTCTGATTTAGGCCACACAAAGACCAACTCCTCAGCCACCTCCAACAGGTGAGAGTGTTACGTATCTGGTCTTCTCTGCATTTTATAAGTTGAGGTTTCATGGCTGCTAGGTATATTTCATAACTTATTTTATTTTATTTTATTTATTTATTTATTTACTCCACTATTTACTACTAAAACTTCCTAAGCCTACAGATATTTCCAAGGAAGGTCTTGGAGAAAATTAAGTAGAGGCAGTAAAAAGCTGACATAGAGATCCACATGGAGATTTTCAGGAAGTCATGGCATTATGACAGTAAAATAAAAGTTTCTTTGTCCTCATGCAATTCAATCATTCTTTTAACAGGCATTTACTGTGTGCTTACTCTCTAAAAGTCATTGGAGATAAAGCAGCAACAAAGTGGAAACAAATCCTGCCCTCATGAAACTTACAATCTAGCGATGAAGGAGAGAAATACACAAATAAGGATGGTATTTGGCATGCCAAATGATAATGAGAGCTGCAAGAGAAATGGGGCAGGAAGTTGGTAGGGGGTGGTTTGGGGGTGGGTGTCAACACTGTTCCTAATGGATGATCACTACAAGTGATCTGGGGAGACATCATTGACAAGGTGACATTTCAGCAGAGATTGGAACAGAAGAGAGACCATCATTTGGGTATCAGGGGTAGCAATTCAAAGCAGAGGGAAGAGCAAATGCCAAGCCCTGGGGCAGGTGCATCTTCATGTATTCAAGGAGCAGCAAGGTAACCTTTTAGACTGCAGCAGAGTGAGTGAAGGCCCAGCTCTGGAGTTAGATCAGAGAGATAACCAGTGGCCAGCTCAGCCTGGACTTCATGGGTGATGGGCATATTTTGGCTTCTACTCTGATGAGTGGAAATATATTGGGGTTTTGAGCTGAGGAGTGACCTGGGAGGTTATTCTGGTGCTGACTGGAGCACAGACTGGGTGCAAGGACAGGAGAAGGAATATTGTTAGTAGGCAGCCACAGTCATCCTGTCAAGAAGTGATGGTGTCAAGAACAGATGAAGGCAAAGAAGTGGTAAGACACAGGCATATCCTGAAGGTAGGGATAGAGGCTTTGCTGATGGGATGGAGAAGAGGCAACAGGGGAATAAGTCAAGAAATACCACAAAGCTGTATTCTGAACACCTGTCAGGATGATGTTGCTTTCACAGCAAAGGGGTACTGAGGGACAGTAAGTTTGGAGAAGTCTAAGGTTTGGTTCTGACACGTCAATTGTCCACATGAACAGTTAGTTTGAGAGGAGTTAGTTTTCAGGGGTCTTTTAAATATCAAAGTAGAAATAACCAGTGCTCAGGAGGATATAAGGGTCTGAGGCTCAAGAGAAAGGTCATAGCTGCAGGTATAAATGTGATGGCTCATCGGGGAGTGAGCTGTCCAAGTTCTGTGCAGATTTCAAGGGGTAAATTCAATGAGCCTGTTTGTGGCCACAGCCTTCCTCAGGCTTCCCAGTATCCACATTACCACAAAAAGCCTCAGTGGTGATCTACTTGAGTCTGTCCCCACATGTTGGGGCTTGAGTTATGCAGAATCCCCATCTTGCTCCCTTTCTCCAACATGACAAGAAGACCTCAGTTAGCCAAAATGTCCTGAAGAGGGCTGAGGAATTTGGTCTGAATCATCCCACAAATTCATGGTACAGGAAATAAGTGCTGCTTTTGTCGTTGGCTCTAGAAAGATGATATCGGCCGGGTGCAGTGGCTGATGCCTGTAATCCCAGCACTTAGGGAGGCCGAGGCGGGCGGATCATGAGGTCAGGAGATGGAGACCATCCTAGCTAATACGGTGAAACCCCGTCTCTACCAAAAATACAAAAAATTAGCTGGGCATGGTAGTGGGTGCCTGTAGTCCCAGCTACTCGGGAGGCTGAGGCAGGAGGAGAATGGCATGAACCCAGGAGGCAGAGCTTGCAGTGAGCTGAGATGGCTCCATTGTACTCCAGCCTGGGTGACAGAGCGAGACTCTGTCTCAAAAAAAAAAAAAAAGAAAGAAAGAAAGAAAGGAAGGAAGGAAGGAAGGAAGGAAGGAAGGAAAGAAAGAAAGAAAGAAAGAAAGAAAGAAAGAAAGAAAGAAAGAAAGAAAGAAAGAAAGAAAGATGATATCAACCAATGTTTTGCCATAAGACTTTGCTTTGGATTGGGATTTTAACTCTGGGATCTGGCTCTAGGTCTCTTGCCTTCCTCTTTACGAGGTTAACTTGGGATGGTTAGCCATCCAACCAAGTCCTCATGTTTCTGAGAGTCATTCCCAGCCATATCATCCTATTAACCATTGAATCCATTGTCTACCACTGCCCAAGGCTGGGATGCAGTTTTTTTTTTTGGTTAGCTTCATTGAGATATAATTGACAAAAATTATGTCTTTAAGGTGTACAATATATTTTGATATGTGTATACGTTGTGAAATGATTACCACAACCAAGCTAATTAACATTCCCTTCAACATACATAGCATTTTTTTTTTTTTTTTGAGACGGAGTCTCACTCTGTCACGCAGGCTGGGAGTGCAGTGGTGCAATCTTGGCTGACTGCAACCTCTGCTTCCCAGGTTCATGCGATTCTCCTGCCTCAGCCTCCTGAGTTTTTGTGGTGAGAATATTTAAGATCTACTCTCTCAGCATATTTCAAGTATACATTAACTAGAGTCTCTATGTTCTACATTAGGTTTCCAGAAAGTTACTCATTTTACATGTAAAAATTTGTACCCCAACATCTGTCCATTTTCCTCACCCTCAGACTGCTGGTAACCACTCTTCTGCTTTTGGTTTCCGTGAGTTCGACTTTTTCAGATTCCATGTATAAGTGAGATCATTTAATATTTATCTTTCTGTGTGGCTTATTTATTTCACTTAGCGTGTCTTCCACGTTCATCCACATTGTCACAAATAGTAGGATTTCCTACTATTGCTTGAACCCAGAAGGTGGAGGTTGCAGTGAGCCAAGATCGCACCATTGCACTCCAGCCTGGGTGACAAAAGTGAGACTTCATCTCAAAAAAAAAAAAAAAAAAACCTTTGAAAAGAAGTGAGGATTTGAGGCTTGGCACAGTGGCTCATGCCTGTAATCCCAGCACTTTGGGAGGCTGAGGTGGGTGGATCATTTGAGGTCAGGAGTTCAAGACTAGCCAGGCCAACATGGTAAAAGTCCATCTCTACTAACAGTACAAAAATTAGCTGGGCATACATCTGTAGTCCCAGCTACTCAGGGGCTGAGGCAGGAGAATAGCTTGAACCCAGGAGGTGGAGGTTGCAATGAGCTGAGATCACACCACTGCATTCCAGCCTGGGGAACAGAGTGAGACATTATCTCAAAATAAAATAAATAAGTAAAATAATAAAAAGAAATGCAGATTTGGGACAATGGGGACACTTAGCTGATGCACAGCGCAGGTGAGCAGTCCTTCTTTTGTGACCATGAAGACATAATTCCCAGGAGCCCACCTTGGGGTCTCCTAGAAAAAGCATGTGGGCTGCTCACCAGCTGCATATCCACCTTTCCTTTCCTGCACTCTCAGGAAGATGGGAGTTCTGGATTCAGCTGAACTGAGTTCAAGTTCAGACTCTGTGACTCACTGGCTGTGTAATTCTGGGTAAGTTACTTGCTCTCCTTGAGTCCCGTATCCTCCATGGTAAAATGGAGAAGTGGAGTTATTGTAAGGATTTGAAGGCAAGGCAAGAGTTAAAGAAACACACACACACACACACACACACACACACACACACACACACACACACACACACAGAGAGAGACTGGCCGCTTCAACAGCAACACAGGTTTATTACTAGCAAAACCCTGCGGAGGGGGAAACCAGCTTAGTGTCAGTGCCCACTGCCGCTCACAGGCTGGGGTAATCATAGCGCTGGGAGGGAGGGCTCTGGACAGTATAGCTTGCTGCTCAGTAGAAGATGATAAGGATGTTCCTGAAGTCAGGCTGTTGGGCCTTTGCCCAGCAGGATGTGATAAGGATGTTTCTGCAGTCAGGTGGTTAGGACATTTCTCACAGCCCGAGTTCCCATGGAATGTTTTACTCCAACCAGGATCTGCAAAACAGCAAGGGGTTTACCAAATAGTGCAGCTTAGACTAACAGTAACCTCTCCCAGGTAGACAGTTCTATAAAGTAAACTTCCCTTGAGCACCTACACTGTACCAGACATGGTGCTAGGACCCAGGCCACAGGAGGAACAGGACAGATGAGGCCCCTGCCATCCTGGTGCTCTTGTCTGATGAAGGAAGCTAACAGGTCGTAAGACCAGGTCAGATGGTGGTGGTAATGAAAGACATTACCAGAGTGAGATGAGCTAGAAAGAAACTGAGGGAGCTGTTCCAAACACAGTGACAGGGAGAGACCCCTCCAAGAGGTGACCTTTGAGCAGCAACCTGAGAGATGTTGGGTGGGGGGAGGCATGGAAAAGGAGCTGCCCCTGAAGCCATCCCAGGAGTAAAGACCCAGCACGAGGTGGGCAACAGAATGGCCTGACCTGTGCGTCCTTCATGCTTCCTTCCTCAGTGGTGCCCAAACAGAAACATGGGGCAATTCCACGCAGGGTCCATGGAGGGAGCAGAAAGCAGCCGCAATGAAGAGCCACGGTGGGGATGAAATCTGGCCCAACAGTGAAGCTAGAAGCAGGTGCTGCTTACCACTCACCAAAACACAGGTCATGAAGCATACCCAGCCCCTGAAGGCACGTCCAGGGCCAGACCAGCTGGCTGGGCTGCCAGCATCCTAGTAGAGATCCCAGAAGATCAGATAAGCTGGTTGAAGGTGGGGGAGAAAAGGAAAGCTTCAGAAAATTCCATAGGACCCATGACACTTAGCATGGACTTTCCCTGAGTGGGATCTGTTTGGCATTGCTGGTTCTAAAAAGTTGGTCCCACCACCCCCACCTGCCCGGTGCCCGACCAGGGGAAAACCTGGGATAAGGTCCACAGAAACAATCCCTGTGGAATGGGAAAGGGTGTTCTCATCCAAAACCAAGGGAGGAATCCCACAAAACACCACTCATAAGGAGCAGAGGGGCCTACAGGGAGAAACAGGATTCTGCTGCTCGCTGGGGAATCTGCTTTTCAGCAGGAAAAGGAACATGCAGGATGCAGAAGCAAAGTGGACCCTGAGCTGTGGGGTTAGGGGAGCTAGCTGGTGCTGACACTGTCAGGGATGAGCCACAATAGGAGGCTTAGAACCCCTTACTTAGAACACACTAACTCAGAGGGCACCTGAGAGTAACCTGAGATGGTCCCTAAAGACTTTTCATCCAAGCAGGATCCCTCCCTTGCCATCTCCAGACCTGCCCGACAAGCTCCCTCCCTGGTCTCCTGGCTGTTGTTCACTCCTTCCAGGAAGCCTTCCACAGTCATCTCTAAAACGTGGCTGACTGTCCCTCCTTTATCCAGAACCTTCCATGGCTCCCCAGAGCCCTCCAGATCAAGTTCAAGTTCTTTGATCAGACACTTGATCTCAAGCTGCATTCTACCTCCTGAATTAAGATCCCAGAGATGCCCACCTTGCTCGGCACAAGTGCATCAATGAAGTCCAAAGTCTTGAATGTGGCCTTGGCCTTGAGGACGTCAACACCCTGGCTAGTGAGGGTGCAGTGCCGCTCCAGGATGATGGTGTCTAAAGTTGAGCACCAGGTCGCAGGCCCGCAGAAGCATCTCCCCTCAGGAGTGAGGTAGTACAGGAAGTCTGTGCACAGGCAGATCTGCTGGTGCCATTACACTATGAGGGCATGGAGCTCCAAGATGGTGGCAACATAGTCACTAGAATTCCTACAGGGTAAGGCTGGGGAGAGGAAGTAGCTGCATAACACATATGATACCCTGGAAGCACTTCCCAGCCAGAGTCTCAGGACCACATTACATCCAGATACAGGTGCCCTCTGAGCACACTTCTCTCTCTGCCTCCCACTCTGAGCTGCCTCCTGGCCCCACATGGGCAGCCTGGCCCAAGGGTTGGAGCCCAGCAAGTGTTCAGTCCATGGTGTTGACTGCTCCCTGGGCCAGGAGAGCCCTTGGTGACTCTCTGACTCCTCCTGTGGAACCTCTGACTCTGCCTTGGGACCTCCCAATTCCCATGGGAAGCCCCCATGGCTCTGGATTGCCCCACCTTGCCTTGGATCCTCCAGCCCCACAGGCCTTACTTGATGCCTTAGCCCTCCCAGAACATGACATGTTCCTCAGAATGTGGCTGATGTCCAGGGCCATATGTGGATGTTTGCTGGGGGCTTCTTGCTGTTCTCCTTTATGGTCTGTAGGGCAGGGCAAGGCCAAAAGGAGAAACCAATCCAACCTCAGAATGGACAAAATGCTCACTGCCACAAACGGCAACCACTTACAGTCAGCAGTGCTTCTGGAAACAAAGGTTTCATTCTGCAAAACGCTCCTTGTTGGCTTCTTTCTGAAGCCAGGGAAGGATACCAAGCCCAGCTTACCTGCAGTGCCTGCATTAGCATCTGTGCCTAGGATGTGCGATGGGCCCCTGCTCCCACTGCAGGGTTGACGTTCCCTCCAGCTGGAGACCTGGGCTCCTGACACCACCGGGCCTGTTTGTCCTGCTCTGGATGAGGGTGGAAAGGCTGTATCTGGCATTTTCCTAGGTCCTTAGTTTCCACCTTCTAGACATCCAGCAGGAGTGACCATGCCCAGCCCCACACCTGAAATGGGACTCCCTTGTAGAGCAGCTGAGACATCTACAGACAGAAGAGTGCTCTGGTGAGACAGGCCACAGGGGTCCCCAGGGAGGGTTGGGGGCCAGAAGATTCTGAAGGCTTCCAGTCTTGGGCTCTGTGGTTCCTCAAAGAGGTTAGGTTTAACTAAAACCAGGCCTCCCCTCCCACGATTCAAAGAGTGGGTGAGTGCTCTGCGTCAGGAACTCTGATCTGGACCTATTTTTTCATTTAGGTCACCAAGAGACAACCCCTAACCCCCAAGCTAGGGATGGTGCAAGCTCTGGCATGAGATTTTCTTCTAGCAACGTGATGCTTACAGGGACAGGTAGAAAAGCTGGTGATCAGGCCTGCTGTCCTCCGGGTAAAGACAGTGGGCCACCCACGCTCTGAGAGGCCGGTGGTGCCAGGCCACAACACTGGGTGCCTGTACCCCTGGCTCTGCAGACACCGGTCATGGAGGCCCTCCCCTCTCCATATTACCCTCTTGCTGCTCCTATATTTCTTCTAGTTATTAAACAATTTGGGCCATTTTTCTGTGCATCCGATCTGACATTTTTGCTCTCAGATGAAACATGATAAAGGAAGCCAAGCCGCCAGTATTCCTGGAGGGGACCTTGGGTGCTGGGTCTTGGGCTCCAGGGCCCTAATGGGACTGAACCAGAAGGAGCCAGGGAAGGGCAAACACTGGGGCTGAGGCCCTAGGACCCAATGGCCATTGGTGGCCGGGACTTATGGCCCCAACACACCCTGTCCTCAGGCCACAGACACCATGGGCTTCGGTCAGGTCCCAGCCTCCCAGTAGTGTCCTGGTACTAGCAGGTGCTGACCCCTGAGCCACAAGCACAATTCTGGGTTTTGGGTTTTGGTAAAACCACCTCAGGGACAGAGTTCTGGGGTTGGGTTTGGCAGGAACCATGGTGCCTCCCAGGGATGGTGTGTCACTCCTACTTGCCACAAAATGTGCACACAGGCTGTCCCACTGTCCAGCCCATCCTGCTGGACAGGATGGAGGAAGTCAGGGAACAGGTAGGGTGGACATCTGGGGTGCAGGGAGGGGCAGGTGCATGCTGGGAGGTCAGACCCTGCGAGGGCTGTGGGGGCATCAGGCGGAGTGGGCTCCAGGTGCACCCTCAATGCACTGGGCAGGTCTCAGGCCAGGCTCCCTGGACCCCGGCTGGGTGATGTGGTCACTCCCTGGGGGACTGCTGTCAGGCCCTGGCCACCCACCCTGGGCAGCACCGTCCTATCTCAGGACTGGAATTTCTGCAGTCTGAGACAGGACAGTACTGTCCAGGCCTGACAGACTGGGAGGACCCGTTAAGTCCTCCATCCCTAGACCAGCCTCCCACACAGCAAGGACAGTCTCTTAGCTCTACCTTCAGGGCACTGACTGATCCTGCTCACTCTGAGGCAACCAAGGCAGAGCTGAGGACCTGTGCCAAGGCTGGGAGCCAGTCCCCTCCCTAAATGGGCCTGAGGGAAGCACCATCCCTGTCCCAGTCCACTGCAAGCTTCAGCCCAGGAGACACATAGGGAAGGGAGGACGGAGCCCCTCTGCTTCCTGACACTGCAAAAGCGGGACCCAGGAGAAGAGGGAGTACAGGGCTGGCAGGGGACACTCCAGGCCAATGGAGAGCTCCAGCTGCACCATGGGGCTGCCCCTCCTGGGCTGGAGGCTGTGCCCTCTGCAGGATCTGAGAAAGTCCAGTCCTGAGATGGGACAGTGCTGCCCATGGTGGGTGCCCGGTGCCTGACAGCAGTCCCCCAGGGAGTGACCACATCACCCAGCCGGGGTCCAGGGAGCCTGGCCTGAGACCTGCCCAGTGCATTGAGGGTGCACCTGGAGCCCACTGCGCCTGATGCCCCCACAGCCCTCACAGGGTCTGACCTCCCAGCATGCACCTGCCTCTCCCTGCACCCTGCTGCCCACCCTGCCTGTTCCCTGGCTTCCTCCATCCTGTGCAGCCCATAGACTGTGACCATCTATCTGGCCACTGTGGCCCTTCCTTTCCCTTTGTCCTGTTGGAATCTCTGAGCAAGATCTCCCAGGTCCATCGAAACACCTGCTTTGTCCAGTTTTGACTGGGTCTTTGGGCACTACTGGGCCATCCCAACTGTCCACAGGGCCCTCAATAACGTGCATTGCACCTGACATCTCCCAGCAGTGCTCAGCAGCCCCTGCTGACCAGGTCCAGGTCCCTGCTGGCCATATCCCACACATCAGGTCCTCCCTGACCACACTCTCACTGATTAGAACCCCATGACCAGGCCCCACTAACCAGGCCCTTGCTGCTAGGCCAACAGTGTCCAGGACCCCACTGACCAGGACCTTACTGACCAGGGCCTCACTGACCAGGTTCTTACTGACCAGGGCCTCACTGACCAGGTTCCACTGATCATGACCCCATTGCCTGGCACCATAGATGAGGCCCCACTGACCAGGCCTCCAGGGAACAGGCTGCCACTGACCAGGCCCCTATTAACCAGGCCATAGGTGACAAGATGCCCCTGACTGTGACCCTAGTGAGTAGGCCCCACTGAATAGGCACCCACTGCTCAGATCCCTGCTGACCAGGTCACCCCACAGACCACTGCTACAAGAGCCACCACTGAATGCGCTCTCTCTGAACAGGCCGCCACTGATTAGGTTCCACTGACCAGGCTGCGCTGACCAGGGCCCCACTGACAAGGGCCTCACTGATGAGGACATGGCCAGCAGGCCCTGCTGACTGGGTCCCATGTGACCAGGCCTCCAATGAATAGCACCCCTTGAGCTGGTCACCAGTGACCCGGCCCATGCTGACAAGGCCACCACTAAGCCCCAGCTGACCAGGTCTCCATTGACAAAGTCCTGCAGCCTAGTTTTACACTGACCAGACACCAAACAAGTGGCTGCCACTAGGTCCCCACTCACCAAGACCCCACTACTAGATCCCCCTAATGAGACCCTCTCTAAGCAGACCCCTGCTGACCACACCCCCCAATAAATAGGCCTCACTGACCAAGTCCCAGCTGACTAGGTCCACTGATGAGGCCCACACTGATCAGGGCCCTCATAACCATACCAGAAGGACAAGCGACAATGAGATATTTCATATGGCAGGAGTAGGAGCAAGACAGAGAGAGAAAGGAGGTGCCACATCCTGTTATACAACCAGATCTCATGAGAACTCACTATCAGGAGATCAGCATCAAGAAGATTAACCACTGGTGAAGGAAACACCACCCACACCACCACCCACTGTTTGCAGGCAGAAGCCTCCTGCAGAGGCAGAGCCTCTTGGGAAACTTCTACCATGGCAGTGCAGAAGGGAAACATGGGCTTGGAGCCCCGACACAGGAGGTCACCATCCTCCAGACCCCAGATTCATAAGCCCACCAACAGTTCACATCCTCAGTATGGAAAAGCTACAGGCACTCCACACCAGCCTAGCCCATGAGAGCAGACATGGGGGCTGAAGCCTGCAAAGCTGCAGGTGCACTGCCCTAGCAGAGGTTTCCCATGAGCCTCTGCCTCTGAAGCAGACTACTCCCCCTTCCTACTACCCACCACCCTCCCACCACCCTACTGCCAACCTACTTCCCACCCTACCCACCCCTTTTCCTTCCAACCCCAAACCCCTCCTGCCATGATTACATCACCTCCCACCAGGCCCCACCTCCAACATTAAGGAGTACATTCCACAGGAGTTTTGGTAAAGAAACACAGCCAAACCATATTATTCTGACCCTGGTACCCCAGAATCTCATGTCCTTCTCACAGAGCAAAATACATTCATGCCTTGTCAAAAGTTTCCAAAAGTCTTAACTCATTCCAGCATTAACTCAAATGTAAAAAGTTCAACATCTCATCTGAGACAAGTCTACAGTCCCTTGCACCTATGAGTCCCTGAATTTAAAAGGATGTTCTTTTCTTTCAGGGTACAATGATGGTACAGGCATTGGGTAAGCTTTCTCAATTCAAAGGGAAGAAATTTCCCAGGAAAAAACCACAAATAGAACCACACACCCAATGCAAGTCCAAAACCCAGGAGGCCAGTATCCATTCAATCTCACAGCTCCAAAATCACGAAGAGAACTCACTAGCATAAGCACAGCAATAAGGAGATGGTGTTTAATCATTTGTGAAGGATCCACCTCCCACCACCACTTTTCACCCCTCACCCCCACCATAATCCCCTCATTCTCCCTACCCCCCACCTTCCAACCCACACTCTCCACCATGATTAAATCACCCTCCACCAGGCCCCACCTTTAACTTTATTATTCTGTCCCTGGCTCCCAAATCTCATGTCCTTCTCACATTGCAAAATACAATGATGCCTTCCCTACAGTCCCCCCAAATCTTGTATCATTCCAGCATTTATACAAATGTCCAAAGCTTAAAGTCTCATCTGACACAAGGCTATACAGTCCCTTAGGCACATAAGCCTCTGAACTATAAAGCAAGTTAACTGCTGCCAAGCTACAATGCTTGTGCAGGCAATGGGTAAGCATTCTCAACTGAAAGGAAAAATTTTGCCAGAAAGAGCAAAACACATAGAGGACTTACAGGCCCCATGAAACTCCAAACCCAGAAGGCCAGTCATTCAATCCTACAGTTCCAAAATCACCCTTTTTGAAACGTTGTCCCACATCCAGGGCACAGGGACATGAGGGCTGGGCTCTGAAGGCCTTGGGCAGCCCTGCACCTGTGGCTTTGCAGGGTTTATGCCCCACAGCTGCCCCCATGGACTGGGCGGGTGTTGAGTGCCTACAGCTTTTCCTGACTGATGGTACAAGCTGTTGGTGGGTCTATGAATCTGGGGTCTGCATGACGGTGGCCTCCAGTGTGGGGGCTCCAACCCCATATTTTCCTTCTGCACTGCCCTAGTAGAAGTTTCTTATGAGGCTCTGCATTTTTGGGATGCTTTTGTCTGGTCACCCAGGCATTTCCATACATCTTCCAAAGTCTACAAAAAGGCTCCCAAGCCTCTAGTCTCATGATCCATCCACCTAGTGGCTTAACACTATGAGGAAGTTACCAAGGCTTCTAGCTTGCACCCTCTGAAGCAGTGACCCAAGCTGCATCTGTGCATTTTCAGCCATGGCTGGAGCTGGAGCTGCAGGGACGCAGGCAGCAGTGCCCTGAGGCTGCACATAGAGCGGGGTCACAGGACTGGCCCAGGAAACCATGCTTCTCTCCTAGGGCCCAGGGCCTGTGATAGCAAGGGCTGCTGCAAAGGTCTCCGAAATGCCGTCAAGGGCTTTTCCCTATTGTCTTGGCTATTAGCACTGGGCTCCTTTTCATGCAAGTTTCTGAAGCCTTCCTGAATTTTCCCCCTGAAAATCAGCTTTTCTTTTTGACCACTTGGCCAGGCTGCAAATTTTCCAAACTTTTGAGTCCTGTTTCTCATTTAACATAAGAGTTGGGACTCATTTAATATAAGTCCCATCCAGAGGTCATTTTCTCAGTCACACATCAGAGCACAGGCTGTTCAATGCAGACAGGACACCTCTTGAGCTTTGCTTCCTAGAAGTTCATTCCACCAGATATGCACTGCATCATCAACCTCAAGTTTAAAGTTTCACAGATCTCCAGGGCAGGGTCACCATGCAGCCATGTTCTTTGCTACAGCAAAATAAAAGTAACCTTGGCTTCTGTTCCCAGGAAGTTCCTCATTTTTATCTGAGACCTTCCAAGTCTGGTTTTCACTGGCCATTTTCCTGTCAGCCTTCTGATCACAAGTAGTTAACAATTCTTTACAAAGATCCAAACTTTTCTTCATTTTCCTGTCTTCGAAGCCCTCCAAACTCTCCTGATCTCTGTCTGCCACCCCCTTCTGAACCTGCTTCTACATTATCAGCTATCTTTGTCACAGCCTGGCAATGTGGTAAAGGAAGACAAGTCCATTTTCAGGGAGAAAATTCAAGAAGCCCTCAGATACTTGAATGAAAAGAAGCTGAGTACTGACTCCCAAGACAATAGGGAAAAGGCCTTGAAGACATTTCATACATCCACTTCCCAGTACTAATTTTCTCTATGATCATAAAGAACCTCATGATTCTGCAGGCTGTAAGGAAACATACTGGCTTCTGAATCTGGGAGGACTCAGGAAGCCTCCCAATCATACCAGAATGTCAAGGGGCAATGAGATGATTCACGTGGCAGGAGTAGGAGAAAGACAGAGAGAGGAAAGAGGTGCCATGCCCTATTATACAAGCAGATCTCATGAGAACTCACAAGGTCAGCATCAAAAAGATGGTGTTTAACCATTGGTGAAGGATTTGCCCCCCACCCCCAACTCCCACTGTTTCCAGGCAGAAGCCTGATGCAGAGGCAGATCCTCTTGGAAAACCTCTACTAGGGAAATGTGGAAGGAAAATATGGGCTTGGAGCCCCCACGCAGATGGCCACCAACCTCCAGACCCCAGATCCATAGACCCACCAACAGCTCACAGCCTCAGTTTGAAAAAGGTATGGGTAGTCAACACCAGCCCACCCCATGAGAGCAGCCACAGGGGCTAAACCCTGTAAAGTCACAGGTGCACTGTCCTAGTAGAGGTTTTCCATGAACCACTGCCTCTGCAGCAGGTTACTCCCCCTTCCTACTACCCACCACCCTCCCATCACCCTACAGCCAACCCATTCCTCCCCACCCTACCCACCCTTTCTCCTTCCACCCCCAACTCCCTCCCATCCATGATTAAATCCCCTCCCCTAGGCCCCACCTTCAGCATTTGGGATTACAATTCCACATGAGTTTCACAGGGACACACAGCCAAACCATATTATTCTGACCCTGATACCCCAGAATCTCATGTTTTTCTCACAGAGCAAAATACAATCATGCCTTTTCAAAATTTTCCAGAAGTCTTAACTCATTCCAAATGTAAAAACTTCAAAGTCTCATCTGAGACAAGGCTACCTTCTCTTCTGCCTATGAGTCCCTGAATTCAAAAGGGATTTCTTTTCTTTCAAGGTGCAATGATAGTACAGGCATTGGGTAAGATTTCTCAATCCAAAGGGAATAAATTTCCCAGAAAAATAACACAAATGCAAGTCCAAGCCCAGGAGGACAGTATTCACTCAATCTTAAAGCTCCATAATCATCAAGAGAACTCACTATCATGCAGACAGCATTAAGGAGATAGTGTTTAACCATTTGGGAAGGATCCACCCCCCATCCTCATCTTTTGACCCCACTCCCAAAATAATCTCCACCATTCTCCCCACACCCGTACCTCCAACCCCCATGCTTCACCATGATTAAATCACCTTCCACCAGGTCCCAACTTTCACATTCCCCATTACAATTCCACATGAGTATCGGTAGGGACACAGAACCAAATCGTATTATTCTGACCCTAGTTCCCCCAAATCTCATATCTTTGACACACTGCAAAATACAATGATGCCTTCTCTACAGTCCCCCAAAGTCTTAAGTCATTCCAGCCTTTACTGAAGTATCCAAAGCCCAAAGTCTTATCTGACACAAGGCTGCAGTCCCTTCTGCCTCTGAGCCTCTGAAATACAAAGTAAGTTAATTACTTTCAAGGTACAATGATTGTACAGGCATTGGGTATGAATTCCCAGCCAAAAGAAAAAACTTTGCCAGAAAGAAGCACAAAATATAGATGAGACTTACAGATCCGATGCAAGTCAAAAACCCAGCAGGCCAGTCATTCCATTGTACAGCTCCAAATCATCACTTTTCAATCCAAATCCCACATCCAGAACACAGGGGTGTGATGGCTGGGCTCCCAAGGCCTTGGGTAGCTCTGCACCTGTGGCTTTGCAGGGTCTTTCCCCCACAGCTGCCCTCATGGGCTGGGCTAGTGTTGAGCACTTGTAGCTTTCCACACTGAGGGTGCAAGCTGTTGGTAGGTCTATGAATCTGGGTTTGCAGAATGGTGCCTCCATGTGTGGGGGTTCCAACTCTATATGTTCCTTCTGTAATGCCCTAGAAAAGCTTTCCCATGAGGGTCTGCCTCTTGGAAAAGCTTCTGCCTGGAAACCCAGGTTTTTCTGTACATGCTCTGGAGTCTAGACGAAGGCTCCCAAGGCTCTCCTCTTTTGCTCTGTGCACCTGCTGGCTTAACACTATGTAGAAGCCACCAAGGCTTGCATCTTGTACCCCTGAAGCAGTGACCCAAGCTGTGCCTGTGCATCTTTCAGCCATGGCTGGAGCTGGAGCTGCAGGGATGCAGGCAGCAGTGTGCTGTGGCTGAGCACAGCAGTGGAGCCTTGCAGCTGGCCCAGGAGAACATTCTTCTCTCTCAGGCCTTAGGGCCTGTGACAGCAAGGGCTGCTGCAAAGGTCTCTGAAATGCCTTCAAGGCCTTTTTCCCATTGTCTTGGCTATTAGCACTGGACTCCATTTTATACAAATTTCTAAAGCTCTCTTAGATTTTCCCACTGAAAATCAGGTTTTCTTTTTGACCACTTGGCCAGGCTGCAAATTTTCCAAACTTTTAAGTTCTGCTTCTCGTTTAAATATAAGTTTCTACTTGAGGTCATTTATTTGGTCACACCGAAGACCACAGGCTTTTGGACACAGACAGGATACCTCTTGAGCTTTGCTGCCAAAAGTTCATGCCTATGATTTAGATACACCCTAAATCATCACCCTCAAGTTCAAAGTTTCATAGGTCTCCAGGTTAGGGGCATCATGCAGCGACGTTCTTTGCTAAGGCAAAACCAAAGTAACCTTGGCTCCTCTTTTCAGTAAATTCCTCATTTTCATCTGAGACCTTGTAAGCCTGGCCTTCACTGTCCATCCTTCTGTCACCCTTTTAATTATAACTATTTAACAAGTCTCTACAATGGTCAAAACTTCCCTTCATCTTCCTGACTTCTTCCAAGGCCTCCAAACTTTCCAACCTCTGGCTGTTACCCTCTTGTGATCCTGCTTTTACATTTTCATCCATCCTTATTGCAGCCTATCAATGCAGTAAAAAGAAGAAATGCCCATTTTCAGGGGAAAAATTCACAAAGGGATCCGATATCTGCATGAAGAGAAGCTGAGTGCTGATTGCCAAGGCAATAAGAAAAAGGCTTTGAAGGCATTTCATAGCTCCACTTCCAAGCACTAATTTTCTGTAAGATCATAAAGAAAAGATGTTGAACTGGCTCATGGTTCTGCAGGCTTTAAAGGAATCATAGAGGCCTCTGCTTCTGGGAGGAATCGGGAAGCCTCCCAATCATACCAGAAGACCAAGCGGCAATGGGATGTTTCATATGGTAGAAGTAGGAGCAAGACAGAAGGAGGAAAGAGGTATCACACCCTGTTATACAACCAGATCTCATGACAACTCACTATGACAAAATCAGCATCAAGAAGATGATGCTTAATCATTGTTGAAAGATCTGTCCCCCCCAACACCCCCACCCCACCACTGTTTCCAGGTAGAAGCCTGTTGCAGAGCCAGAGCCTCTTGGAAAACCTCTACTAGGGCAGTGCAGAAGGAAAATATGGGTTTGGAGCCCCCACACAGGAGGTTACCATCCTCCAGACCCCAGATTTATAGACCCACCAACAGCTCGCACCCTCAGTATGGAAAAGCTACAGGCACTCAACACCAGCCCAACCCATGAGAGCCGCCAAGGTACTAAACCCTGCAAAGCCACAGGTGCACCGCCCTAGTAGAGGTTTTCCATGAGGCTCTGCCTCTGCAGGAGGCTACTCCCACATCCTACCACCCACCACCCTCTCACCAGCTTACTGCCAACCTACTCCTCCCCACCCTACCCACTTCTTTTTCCTTCTACCCGCAACCCCCTCCCATCCATGATTCAATCACCTCCCACCAGGCCCCACCTCCAACGTTCAGGAATACAATTTCCCATGATCTTTTGTAGGAAAACACCACCAAACCATATTACTCTGACCCTGACACCCCTGAATCTCATGTCCTTCTCACAGAGTAAAATACAAACAAGCCTTTTCAGAAGTTTCCAAAAGTCTTAACTCATTCCAGCAGTAACTCAAATATAAAAAAGATTAAAGTCTCAAACAACACGAGGCTGCAGTCCCTTCTGCTTCTGAGTCCCTGAATGTAAAAGGGAGTGCTTCTCTTTCACGATACAATGATGGTACAGGCATTGGGTAAGCTTTCTCAGTCCAATGGGAAGAAATTTTCCAGAAAAATAACACAATTGGGACACAGGTCCAATGCAAGCCCAAAAGCCAGGAGAGTATGTACGCATTCATCACGAGAACTCACTTTCACACAGACAGCATTAAGGAGATACTGTTTAACCATTTGTGAAAGATCTGCCCCCCCAGCCCCATCTTTCACCCCCACCCCCAGCATAAACCCCCCAAACTTACCACACCCTCACTTCCAATCCCAACTGTCCGCTGTGATTAAATCACCATCTACCAAGCACCACTTTTAACATTCCCCATCACAATTCTACATGAGTTTTGGTTGGGGCACAGAGACAAATCATATAGTTCTGCCCCTGGCCTTCCAAATCTCATGTTACTTTCACTTTGCAAAATACAGTGATGTCTTCTCTACAGTCCCCCGAAGTCTTAACTCATTCCAGCATTTACTCAAATGTCCAAAGCCCAAAGTCTCATCTGAGACAAGGCTGCAGTCCCTTCTATCCCTGAGCCTCTGAAATACAAAGCAAGTTAACTACTTTCAAGGTACAATGCTTGTCCAGGCATTGGGTAAGCAGTCCCAGCCAAAAGGAAGAAATTTGCCAGAAAGAAGCACAAAACACAGATGGGACTTACAGACCCCATGCAAGTCAAAAACCCAGCAGGCCAGTCATTCCATCGTAGAGCTCCAAGTCATATTTTTTGAATCTACATCCCACATCCAGAGAAGAGGGTGGTTTAATGGCTGGTCTCCCAAAGCCTTGGGCAGCTCAGCACCTGTGGTATGGCAAGGTCTTTCCCCAAAGCTGCCCTCATGGGCTGGGCTGCTGTTGAGTGCCAGTAGCTTTTCAACACTAAGGGTGCAAGCTGTTGGTGGGTCTATGAATCTGGGGTCTGGAGAATGGTGCCTCCCAGTGTGGGGGCTCCCACCGTATATGTTCCTTCTATACCATCCTTGTAGAGGTTTACCACGAGGCTCTGTCTGTTGGAAAAGCTTCACCTGGAAACCCAGGATTTTCCATACATACTCTGGAGTCTAGAAGATGAAGACTCCGAAGTTTCTCGTCTTGTGCTCTGTGTACCTGCTGACTTAACACTATGTGGAAGCCACCAAGGCTTGGAGCTTGCACCCCTGAAGTAGTGACCCAAGCTGTACCTGTGCATCTTTCAGCCATGGCTGCAGCAGGAGCTACAGGGATGTAGGCAGCATTGTCCTGAGGCTACACACAGCAGGGGACCATGGGGCTGGGCCAGGAAACCATTCTGTCCTAGAAAACCATTCTTCTGTCCTAGGCTTCAGGGCCTGTACAGCAAGGGCTGCTGCAAAGGTCTCTGAAATGCCTTCAAGGCCTTTTCCCTGTTGTCTTGGCTATTAGCACTGGGCTCCATTTTATGCAAGCTTCTGAAGCTGTCTTGAATTTTCCCACTGAAAATCAGGTTTTCTTTTTGACCACTTGACCAGGCTGCAAATTTTTCAAACTTTTAAGCTCTGCTTCTCATTTAAATATGTTTCTAACTGAGGTCATTTATTTGGTCACATAGAAGACCAGGACACAGACAGGACACCTCTTGAGCTTTGCTGCCAAAAGTTCATTCTGCCGGATACACCCGAAACATCACCCTCAAGTTCAAAGTTTCACAGATCTCCAGGTTAGGGGCATCATGCAGTGACATTCTTTGCTAAAGCAAAACAAATGTAACCTTGGCTCCTGTTCCCAGTAAACTCCTCATTTTCATCTGAGACCTTCTAAGCCTGGCCTTTACTGTCCATCCTTCTGTCACCCTTTTAATTATAACTATTTAACAAGTCTCTACAATGGTCCAGACTTTCCCTCATCTTCCTGTCTTCTTCCAAGTCCTCCAAACTCTCCAACCTCTGGCTGTTAGACAATTCTCAACCTGCTTCTACATTTTCAGCTCTCTTTGTTGCAGCCTGTCAGTGTGGTAAAAGAAGAAAAGTCCATTCACAGGGGGAAAATTCATGCAGGCTACAGATATTTGCATGAAAAGAAGCTGAGAGCTGATTACCAAGACAAGAAGGAAAAGACCTTGAAGGCATTTCATACCTCCACTTCAGAGCACTAATTTTCTGTAAGATCATAAAGAAAAGATGTTGAACTGGCTCATGGCTCTGCAGGCTTTAAAGGAATCATAGAGGCTCCTGCTCCTAGGAGGAATCATGAAGCCTCCCAATCATACCAGAAGACCAAGCAGCAATGGGCTATTTTATATGGCAGAAGTAGGAGCAAGACAGAGAAAGGAGAAGGTTCCACACTGTTATACAATGAGATCTCATTGGAACTCAGTATCACAAGGTCAGCATCAAGAAGATGGTGTTTAACCATTGGTGAAAGATCCACCCCCTACCACCACCCCACCCCCCACTGTTTCCAGGCAGAAGCCTGTTGCAGAGGCAGAGCCTCTTGCAAAAACTTACGAGGGCAGTGCAGAAGGAAAATATGGGCTTGGAGCCCCCATGCAGGAGGCCACCATCCTCCAGATCCCAGATTCATAGACCCACCAACACCTCACATTCTCAGTGTGGAAAAGCTACAGGCACACAAGAACAGACCAGCCCATGAGAGCAGCCATGGGGCTAAATCCTGCAAAGCCACAGGTGCACTGCCCTGGTAGAGGTTTTCCATGAGCCTCTGCCTCTGCAGGAGGCTACTCCCCCTTCCTACTACCCACCACCCTCCCACCACCCTACTGCCAGCCTACACCTCCCGACCCTACACACTTGTTTTTCCTTCCACCCCCACCAATCTCCCATTTATGGTTCAATCACCTCCCACCAGGCTGCACTTCCAACATTCGGGAGCACAATTCCCCATGAGTTTTTGTAGGTAAACACAGCCAAACCATTTTATTCTGACCCTGAGACCCCCTAATCTCATGTCCTTCTCACAGAGCAAAATACAAACGTGCCTTTTGAAAAGTTTCCAAAAGTCTTAACTCATTCCAGCAGTAACTCAAATGTAATAAGTTCAAGTTTCATCCAGGACAATGCTGCAGTCCCTTCTGCCTATGAGTCTCTGAAGGGAAACGGGAGTTCTTTTCTTTCAAGTTACAGTGATGGGTAAGCTTTCTCAATCCAAAGGGAAGATTTTCCCAGAAAAATAACACAATTGGGACACAGGCCCAGTGCAAGCCCAGAAGCCAGCAGGAGAGTATTCATTTATCATGAGAACTCACTATCACACAGACAGGATTAAGGAGATAGTGTTTAACCATTTGTGAAGGATCTGCCCCGGTCTCCATGTTTCACGACCACCCCCACCATGAACCCCCATTCTTCTCACACCCACACTTCCAACCCCCACTGTCCACCATGAATAAATCACCTTCCACCAAGCCCCAGCTTTAACATTCCCCATTACAATTACACATGAGTTTTGGTAGAGGCACAGAGCCAAATCATATTATTCTGCCCCTGGCCCCCCAAATCTCATGTCCCTCTCACACTGCAAGATACAATGATGCCTTCTCTACAGCCCCCCAAAGTCTTAACTCATCCCAGCATTTACTCAAATGTCCAAAGCCCAAAGTCTCATCTGAGACAAGGCTACAGTCCCTTCTATCCCTGAGCCTCTGAAATACAAAGCAAGTTAACTACTTCCAAGGTATAATGCTTGTCCAGGCATTGGGTAAGCATTCCCAGACAAAAAGAAGAAATTTGCCAGAAAGAAGTGCAAAACACAGATGGGACTTACAGACTCCATGCAAGTCAAAAACCTAGCAGGCCATTCATTCTATCCTACAGCTCCAAATAATCTTTTTTGAAACTACATCTCACATCCAGAGCACAGGGTGGTGAGATGGCTGGGCTCCCAAGGCTTTGGGCAGCTCAGCACCTGTGGCATGGCAGGGTCTTTCCCCAAAGCTGCCCTCAATGGCTGGGCTGCTGTTGAGTGCCAATAGCTTTTCAACACTAAGAGTGCAAGCTGTTGGTGGGTCTATGAATCTGGGGTCTGGAAAATGGCGCCTCCCTGTATGGGGGCTCCAACCCTATATGCTTGTTCTGCAATGCCCGAGTAGAGGTTTACCATGAGGCTCTGCCTGTTGGAAAAGCTTCTGCCTGGACACCCAGGCTTTCCCATACATGCTCTGGAGTCTAGACAAAGGCTCCAAAGCCTCTAGTTTTGTGCTGTGTGTACCTGCTGGCTTAACACTATGTGGAAGCCACAAAGGCTTGGAGCTTGCACCCCTGAAGCAGTGACCCAAGCTGTGCCTGTGCATCTTTCAGCCATGGCTGGAGCTGGAGATGAAGGTGTAGGGGTGCAGGCAGCAGTGTCCTGAGGCTGCACATAGTAGTGGGGCCATAGGGCTGGCCCAGAAAAAACATTCTTTTTTCCTAAGCCCCAGGGCCAGTGACAACAAGGGCTGCTACAAAGGTCTTTGAAATGTCTTCGAGGCCTTTTTTCCCATTGTCTTGAATTATTAGCACTGGGCTCCTTTTTTATGCAAATATCCAAAGGCTTCTGGAATTTTCTCCCTGAAATTCAGCTTTTCTTTTTGACCACTTTGCCATGTTGCAAATTTTCCAAAGGATTAAGCTCTGCTTCTCATTTAAATATAAGTTTCAACTCAAGGTCATTTCTTTGGTCACACATAATACCACAGGCTGTTCGACGTAGGCAGGACAACTCTTGAGCTTTGCTGCTTAGAAGTTCATTCCACCAGATAGACCCTAAATCTTCACCCTCAAGTTCAAAGTTTCCCAGATCTCCGGAGCAGGGACACTGTGCAGCCAAATTCTTTGCTAAGGCAAAAGAACAAAACCTTGGCCCCTGTTCCCAGTAAGTTTCTCATTTTCATCTGAGAGCTTCTAAGCCTGGCCTTCACTGTCCATCCTTCTGTCAGCCTTTTAATCACAACTAACAAGTCATTACAATGGTCCAAACTTTCCCTCATCTTCCTGTCTTCTTCCAAGCTCTCCAAACGCTCTAACCTCTGGCCATTACCGAATTCCGAACCTGCTTCTACATTTTCAGCTATCTTTGTCGCAGCCTGGCAATGTGGTAAAAGAAGAAAAGTCCATTATCTGGGGAAAACTTCAAGAAGGCTTCAGATATTAGCATCAAAGAAGCCCAGTGCTACCAGCCAAAAGATTGGGGAAAAGGCCTTGAAGGCATTTCATAGCTTCACTTCACAGCATTGATTTTCTGCATGTACATAAAGAAAAGAGGTTGAATTGACTCACAGTTCTGGAGGCTGTAAGGAAAGCATAGTGGTTTCTGCTTTCAGGAGGACTCAGGAAGCCTCCCATTTATACCAGAAGGCCAAGCAGCAATGAAATGTTTCATATTCCAGGAGTAGAAGCAAGACAGAGGAAAGATGCCACATCCTGTCATACAACCAGATCTCAAGAGAACTCAGTATCAGGAGATCAGCATCAAGAAGATGGTGCTTAACTATTGGTGAAGGATCCACCCAATACCCCACATCCACCCCCCAGTGTTTCCAAGCAGAAGTCTGAGGCAGAGGCAGAGCCTCTTGGAAAACCTCTACTAGGGCAGTGCAGAAGGAAAATATGGGTTTGGAGCCCCCACGCGGGATACCACCATCCTCCAGACCCTAGAGTCATAGACCCACCAAAAGCTCCCACCCTCAGTATGGAAAAGCTACAGGCACTCAACACCAGCCCAGTCCATGAGAGCAGCCATGGGGGCTAAAGCCTGCAAAGCCACAGGTGCACTGCCCTAGTAGAGGTTTTCCATGAGCCTCTGCCTCTGTAGCAGGCTACTCCCACTTCCTACTACCCACCACCCTCACACCACCCTACAGCCAACCTACTCCTCCAACGTTACCCACTTCTGTTTACTTCCAACTCCACCCCTCTCAAGTACAGGAATAAATCACCTCCCACCAGGCCACACCTGCAACATTTGGAATTACAATTTCCCATGTGTTTTGGTAGAGACACACAGCCAAACCATATTATTCTGACCCTGATCCCCCGAATATCATATCCTTCTCAGCGAGTAAAATACAATCTTGCCTTTTCAAAAGTTGCCAAAAGCCTTAACTCATTCCAGCGTTAACACAAATGTAAAAGGTTCAACATCTCATCTGAGAAAAGTCTACAGTCCCTTTTGCCTATGAGTCCCTGAATTTCAAAGGGAGGTCTTTTTTTCAAGGTACGATGATGGTACAGGCATTGGGTAAATTTTCTCAATCCAAAGGGAAGATATTTGTCAGGAAAGTAACACAAATGGGATCACAGGCCCAGTACAAGTCCAAAACCAAGCAGGACAGTATCTATTCAATCTTACAGCTCCAGAATCATCACGAGAACTCACCATCATGAGGAAAGCATTAAGGAGACGGTGTTTAACCATTTGTGAGGGATCCTCCCCAACACCCACCTTTCACCCCTCACCCCCACCATAATCCCCCCATCCTCCCCAATCCCCACCTTCCAACCCCCACTGTCCTCCATGATTAAATCATCTTCCACCTGGCCCCACTTTTAACGTTTCCAATTACAATTCCAAATGAGTTTCTGTAGGGACACACAGCCAAATCTTATTCTGTCCCTGCCTCCCCCAATCTCATGTACTTCTCACTTTGCAAAATACAATGATGCCTTACCTACAGTCCCACAAGGTCTTAACTCATTCCAGCATTTACTCAAATGTCCAAAGCCCAATGTCTCATCTGAGAAAAGGCAGTCTCTTCTGCCCCTGAGCCTCTGAAATACAAACAAGTTAACTACTTCCAAGGTACAATGATTGTCCAGGCATTGAGTTCCCAGCCAAAAGGAAGATTTTTGCCTGAGAGAACAAAACATAAATGGGACTTACAGGCTCCATGAAAAGTCCAAAACCCAGCAGGCCAGTTATTCAAACCCACAGCTCCAAAGTCATCCTTTTTTAATCCTTGTCCCACATCCAGGGCACAAGGGCGTGAGGGCTGGGCTCCCAAGGCCTTGGGCAGCTCACCTGTGGCTTTGCAGTGTTCAGCCTGTGCAGCTGCCCTCATGGGCTGTGCTGGTGTTGAGTGCCTGGGGTTTCTAACCCATGGAGGGTGCAAAGCTCTTGGTGGGTCTATGAATCTGGGGTCTTCATGATGGTGGCCTCCAGTGTGGGGGCTCCAACCCCATATTTTCCTTCTGCACTGCCCTAGTAGAGGTTTCCCATGAGGCTCTGCCTTTTTGGCAGCCTTCTGTCTGGACACCCAGGCACTTTCATATATCTTCCAAAATATATATGGAGGATCTCAAGCCTCTGAACTAGTGCTCTGTGCACCCATTGGCTTAACACTGTGTGGAAGCCACCAAGGCTTATAGCTTGCACCTTCTGAAGCGGTGTCCCAAGCTGTACCTGTGCGTCTTTGAGACAAGGCTGGAGCTGGAGCTGCAGGGATGCAGGCAGCAGTATCCTGAGGCTGCACACAGCAGCAGAGCCATGGAGATGGCCCAGGAAACCATTCTTTTCTCCTAGGTCCCAGGGCCTGTGACAACAAGGGCTACTGCAAACATCTCTGAAATGCCTCCAAGGCTTTCTCCCCCATTGCGTTGGCTATTAGCACTGGCCTTCATTTTATGCAAATTTTTAAAGCCATCATGAATTTTCCCTCTGAAAATCAGCTTTTGTTTTGACCACTTGGCCAGGCTGCAAATGTTCCAAACTTTTGAGCTCTGCTTGTCATTTAAATATAAGTTGCAACTTGAGGTCATTTCCTCGGTCACACATAAAGGCACAGGCTGTTTGACACAGGGAGGACACGTCTTGAGATTTGCTGCCTAGATGTTCATTCCACCAGATACACCCTGAATCATCAACCTCAAGTTTAAAGTTTCACAGATCTCCAGGGCAAGGTCACCCTGCAGCCATGTTCTTTGTTACAGCAAAACAAAAGTAACCTTGGCTCCTGTTCCCAGTAAGTTCCTCATTTTCATCTGAGACCTCATAAGCCTGGCCTTCACTGTCCCTCCTTCTGTCAGCATTTTAATCACAAGTATTTAACAAGTCTCTACAATGGTCCAAACTTTCCTTCATCTTCCTGTCTTCTTCCAAGTCCTCCAAACTCTCCGACCTCTGGCTGTTAGCCACTTCTGAACCTGCTTTTATATTTTCAGCTATCTTTGTCACAGCCTGGCAATGTAGAAGGAAAAAAAGTCCATTTTCAGGGGCAAACTTCAAGAAGGCTTCAGATATTTGCACTAAAAGGAAGACCAGTATTAATAGCCAATGTGATGGGGAAAAGTCATTGAAGACATTTCATAGCTTCAATTCGCAGTACTAATTTTCTGTAAGATCATAACAAAAAGGGGTTTAATTGGCTTATAGTTCTGCAGTAGGCTGTAAAGAAAGCATAGTAACTTCTGCTTCTGGGAGGACTCAGGAAGCCTCTCAATTATACCAGAAGGACAAGCAGCAATAAAATGTTGCATATGGCCAGAGTAGGAGCAAGACAGAGAGAGGAAAGAGGTGTCACAGCCTGTTATACAACCAGATCTCATGAGAACTCAGTATCACAAGGTCAGCATCAAGAAGATGGTGCTTAACCATTGGTGAAAGATCCACCCCCCAACACACTTCCACCCCTCACTGTTGCCAGGCAGAAGCCTGCTGCAGAGGCAGAGCCTCTTGGAAAACCTCTACTAGGGCAGTGCAGAAGGAAAATATGGGCTTGGAGCCCCTATGCAGGAGGCCACCATCCTCCAGACCCCAGATTCATAGACCCAACAACAGCTCATACTCTCAGTATGGAAAAGGTACAGGCATTAAACAACAGCCCAGCCCATGAGAGCAGCCACGGGGCTAAAGCCTGCAAAGCCACAGGGGCACTGTCCTAGTAGAGGTTTTCCATGAGCCTCTGCCTCTGCAGCAGGCTACTCCCCCTTCCTACTACCCACCATCCTATGGCCAGCCTACTCGTCCCCACCCTCCCCACCCCTTTTTCCTTACACCCCCACCCTCCTTCCATCCAGGATTAAATCACCTCCCACCAGGCTTCACCTCCAAAATTCAGGATTACACTTCCACATGAGTTTTTCTAGGGAAACACAGCCAAACCATAGTATTCCGAACTTGACCCTTCCAAATCTCATGTCCTTCTCACAGGGTAAAATACAATCATGCCTTTTCAAAAGTTTCCAAAATCCTTAACTCATTCCAGCATTAACTCAAATATAAAAAGTTCAAAGTCTCATCCGAGACAAGGCTACAGTCTCTTACGCCTATGAGTCTCTGAAGTTAAAATGGAGTTCATTTCTTTAAAGGTACAATGATGACACAGGTATTGGGTAAGCTGTCTTAATCCAAGGGGAAGAAATTTCCCAGAAAAATAACACAAATGGGACCAGAGGCCCAATGCACATCCAAAACCCAGCAGAACAGTATTCATTCAATCTCACCGCCACAAAATCATGAAGAGAACTATCACAAGGACAGTATTAAGGAGACAGTGTTTAACCATTTGTGAAGGATCTGCCCCCCACCCGCCTTTCACCCCCAACCCCACCATAATTTTCCCCAATTCGCCCCACCACCCCCACCTTCCAACCTCCACTCTCCACCATGATTAAATCACCTTCCACCTGCACCCCACCTTTAACATTTCCCATTACAGTTCCACATCAGTGGGACACAGAGCCAGATTGTATTATTCTGTGCCTGCCCCTGCAAATTTGTCTTTCTCACATTGCAAAATACAATGATGCCTCTCCTACAGTCCCCCAAATCTTAACTCATTCCAGCATTTACTCAAATGTGTAAAGCCCAAAGTTTCATCTGAGACAAGGATACAGTCCCTTCCGCCCATGAGTCTCTGAATTATAAAGCAAGTTAACTACTTCCAAGGTACAATGATTGTACAGGCAATGGGTAAGCATTCCCAGCCAACAAAAGAAAAATTGCCAGAAACAAAAACAAAACACCGATGGGACTCACAGGATACATGAACGTCCAAAACCCAGTAGGCCAGTCATTCAATCCTACAGCTCCAAAGTCATCCTTTTGGAATCCTTGTCCCACATCCACGGCACAGGAGTGTGAGGGCTGGGCTCCAAAGGCTTTGGGCAGATCTCCACCTGTGGGTTTGCAGTGATCAGTCCCCGCAGCTGCCCTCATGGACGGGGCTGGTGTTGAGTGACTGTAGCTTTCCCACATTGAGGGGGCAAGCTGTTGGTGGGTCTATGAATCTGGGGTTTGAAGGATGGTGCCTCCCTGTGTGAGGGCTTCCACCTGATACATCCCTTCTTTCCCGCCCTAGTAAAGGTTTCCCATGAGGCTCTGCCTCTTGGAAAGGCTTCTGCCTGGACACCCAGGCTTTTCTGTACATCCTCTGGAGTCTAGACAGAGGCTCCCAAGCCTCTAGTCTCTTGCTCTGTGCACCTCCTGGCTTAACACTATGTGGAAGCCATCAAGGCTTGGAGCCACCTCTGAAGCAGTGACCCAAGCTGTACCTGTGCATCTTTCAGCCATGGCTGGAGCCGGATCTGCAGGGATACAGGCAGCAGTGTCCTGAGGATGCACACAGCAGCCAGGCCATGGAGCTGGCCCAGGAAACAATTCTCTCCTCTTCCCCAGGGCCTATGACAGCAAGGGCTGCTGCAAAGGTCTCTGAAATGCCTTCAAGGCCTTTTCCCCATAGTCTTGGCTATTTGCACTGGGCTCTTTTTTTATGCAAATACTTTAAGTGCTCTTGAATTTTCCCCCTGAAAATCAGCTTTCCTTTTTGACCACTTGGCTAGGCTGCAAATTTTTCAAATTTTTGAGCTCTACTTCTCATTTAAATAGAAGTTGCAACTTGAGGTAATTTCTTAGGTCACACATAAGAACACAGGCTGTTGGATGTAGAGAGGACACCTCTTGAGCTATGCTGCCTAGATGCTCATTCCACCAGATACATCCTAAATCGTTACCCCCATGTTCACAGTTTCAGAGATCTCCAGGGCTAAGGCCAATCAAATGTAACCTTGGCTCCTGTTCACAAGATGTTCCTCATTTTCATCTGAGACCTTTTAATTCTGGCCTTCACTGTCCATCTTTCTGTCAGCCTTCTGATCACAAGTATTTAACAATTATTTTCAGTGGTCCAAATTTTTCCTCATCATGCTGTCTTCTAAGCATTCCCAACTCTCCTGACCTCTCTGTTTTACCCACTTCTGAACCTGCTTCTACATTCTCAGATATCTTTGTCACAGCCTGGTAATGTGGTAAAAGAAGAAAAGTCCATTTTCAGGGGAAAAATTCACAAAGGCTTCAGATATCTTCATGAAAAGCAGCTGAGTACTGGTTACCAACACAATGGGGAAAAGGCCTTGAAGGCATTTCATAGCTCCACTTCACAGCACTAATTTTGTGTACAATCATAAAGAAAGAGGTGTAATTGGCTCACGGTTCTGCAGGCTGTAAAGGAAGCATAGTGGCTTCTGCTTCCGGGAGGACTCAGGAAGCCTCCCAATCATACCAGAAGGCCAAGGGGCAAGGAAATGCTTCATGTGGCAGCAGTAGAAGCAAGACTGAGAGAGGAAAGAGGAGCCCGCCCTGTTATACAACCAGATCTCATGAGAACTCAGTATCACAAGGTCAGCATCAAGAAGATGGTGCTTAACCACTGGTGAAGGATCTGCCCCCGCAACCCCCACCTCCACCTCCCACTGTTTCCAGGCAGAAGCCTGCTGCAGAGGCAGAGCCAGATTCATAGACCCACCAACAGCTTGCACCCCCACTGTGGAAAAGCTACAGGCACTCAACAGTAGCCCAGTCCTTGAGAGCAGCCGTGGGGGCTAAAACTTGCAAAGCCACAGGTGCACTGCCCTAACACAGGTTGTCCATGAGGCTGTGCCTCTGCAGCAGGCGACTCCCCACTCCCACTACACCCCACCCTTCCACCACCCTACACCAGCCTACTCCTCCCCACCCTGCCCACCTCTTTTTCCTTCCACCCCACCCGCCTCCCATCCGTGATTAAATCACTCCCACCAGGCCCTCATCTTTTTGTCATTTTCCAATCCCTGCAAACCCTCCCAATCTTTGTTTGTTACCCACTTCTGAACCTGCTTCTACTTTTTCAGGTATCTCTATAGCGGGTTGGCTATGTAGTAATAACACAAAACCCGATTTAAGGGGGAACATTCAAGAAGACTTCAGAAATTTGCATATAAAGAAGCCCTGTGCTAATGGCCAAGACAAATGGAAAAAGGCCTTGAAGGCATTTCACAGCTCCTCTCTGCAGTTCTAATTTTCTGTATTATCCTAAATAAAAGAGGTTTCATTGACTCAGGGTTCTGCAGGCTGTGAAGGAAGCATAGTGTCTTTTGTTTCTGGGAGGAGTCAGGGAGCCTCCTAATTATACCAGAAGGCCAAGGGACAATGAGCTGTCTCCTATGGCAGGAGTAGGAGGAAGACAGAGTGAGGAAAAGAGGTTCCACAGCCTGTTAAACAACCAGATCACATGAAAACTCACTCACTATCAGGAGGACAGCATCAAGGGGATGGTGCTTTATCATTCGTGGAGGATCTACCTGCACCATTTTATGACTAAATCTTTTTCCACCTAGGCCCCACCTCTAACGTTAGGGAGTATAATTCCACATGGGTTTTGATAGGGATATAGAGACAAACCATATTATTCTGTCCCTGATCCCATGAATCTCTTGTCCTTTTCACATTGCAAAATACAATCATGCCTTGCCAGCATGAGTCTTAACTCATTTCAGCATTAACTCAAAGTTACAAAGTTCAAAGTCTCATCTGAGTCAAGGCTGCAGCCTCTTTTGCCTATAAGCCTCTGAAATAAAATGCAAGATCACTGCTTCTAAGGTACAGTGGTGGTACAGGCATTGTGTAAGCTTTCCATATCCAAAAGGAAGACATTTTCCAGAAAGCTTCTTATTTCTATCTGAGACCTCCTCAGCCTGGCCTTCACTGTCCATGTTTCTGTCAGGATTTTGGTCACAACCATTTAACCAGTCTCTAAGATGGTCCAAACCTTCTCATCTGTCTTCTTTTGAGCCCTCCAAACTCTTCCAACCTCTGTCCATTACCTAGTTCCAAAGCTGCTTCCACATTTTCAGGTATCTTTATAGCAATGCTCCAGTCCTCATTTGCCATTTTCTGTATGATTCATTATGAAAAAGAGGTTTAATTGGCTCACGGTTCTGCAGGGTGGACAGGAAGCACAGGGCTTCTGCTTCTGGGAGGCCTCAGAAATCTTTCAATCTTTGTGCAAGGCAAAGAAAGAGTCAGTTGTCTCACACGGCAAGAGGAAAACATGCAGAGTAGGGAGGTGACATAGAGTTTTCAATGACCAGGTGTCATGAGAAGTCACTCATGATTGTGAGGACAGTAGCAAGGGGATGGTGCTGAACCATTCATGAGAAATTTGCCTTCAGGATTCAATCACCTTAGACCAGGATCCACCTTCAACGTTAGGAAATATAATTCAACATGAGATTTGGTGAGGACACATATTCAAATTGCATCATCAATCTTTGAATATAAAGACATCCACAGCAGGCTTTATCCAGCCAGCTTCTTTGAGACTCTTCACAGGGTTTGAGGTCTACAGCATATACACGAAAATATTCATACTTCAAAAAGCAATAAAGTAAGTGGTATCATTCTTCCAAAAGTTACAATGGTAGTGTAGGAATTCATAGCATGGTTTAGGTCATGTTTGCTACTGTTTCTATTCTATCGCCATATTAACTGTTTCCTACACAATTCTATGTTCAGCCGAGTTTCAATTGAGAACAAAGCCATCCTTGTACTACCGCCAATACCTGGCACTATCTCTTTGCTAGTGTTATTATTCTGCTGTAGAAAGCATCCTTGAACTGGAAACAGTGCACAATCGAGTATCTAGTCATTCAACACTATCAATTCCTGGGTGACCTTTTGAAAAAATAGTATCTCTTGTTGCAAGAAATGCTGCATCTGTGAGTCCATGTTTCTCACTGGAATTGGATGGAAGTGGTGAATTTCAGCCACAGTGTCCAAAGAAATCCTGTTCCTGTGATTCTGATGTCATCAGCCTCTGCATCTCTGTCTTCCCTTCTGCCACATGTTGCCTGCTCTCCATGACTTTGGTAAGAGCTTCCTTGTGTATGTGGATGATGTCCAGGATGATGACCTGGTGTCCCAGAGACAGCACTAACAGGTCCATGACTGGGTCCAGTTCCTGGCTGGGCTGATTGGCAAAGAGCTCACCGACGGTGTTGAAGGCATCTCTGGTGAAGTGATGGCCTGGTCCAGCTCCAAGACCTGGCTGAGGCTGAAGAGCTGGCCACCTTCTGATGCTCTTTCTTAAAGCCCGTCACCATAATCTGCTTGCATGTCAACTCATTGGCTGAGAAGTTGAGCTGAGTGCCCTGTGGTCCATCTTCTTGGTGAAGCGCTCGAAGCCGTCAATTTTGCTCTCCCACTCTTAAAGGTTGAGGGCCACCTTGGGGGTGGGCTCAGGGTCAGGAAGAAGCTGGAATTCACCACCTCATCCTTCGCAGCCTTCCTCTTGCCCTGTCTCCAGGCTGTCTCTTCAGTGCTGGTGTGGCACATCACGAAGTGATGGAAGACGTGGCACTGTGCCTGCACCCAGAAGCTGGCCATGTGGTTCATCCACGAGATTGGGCCCTTTCTGCACTTGAACATGGAGTCCTTCTCAAGATGGCCTGCGGTCTGCCTCTTGGCACCCAAGAAGCCCACAGTGCTGTAGGAGCCCTCATGCATGGACTGGAGCCCCAAAGGCAGCGCACAGCCTGCTCCTGAGCCTGCTGCTCATTTCCTCTATGTGGCTCCATCTGCAGCACAGTGGTTGCATTGAGGCCTGTGCATGCCAGGCAAGGCCAAGCTGGCTCAAAGAGCAACCAGCCACCTCTGCAAGGGTGTGCCAGGAGCAGGTGGACCAGCCACCAACCTCACTCGCTGCCAGTCAGGGTAAATCAGTTATTCTGCCCTGGAGGTAGGGCCCCAGTGCCATCTGCTTTTCCTCAGGCCTCTGCTCCATCAGCCGTCAAGTGGCAGCCCCTCAGGCTGTGGGAACCTGGCCACCCCTGATTCCTTGAGTGGGTGAGGTTGGTGGCCGGTCCACTTGCTCCAGGCACACCCTTGCAGAGGTGGCTGGTTGCTCTTTGAGCCAGCTTGGCCTTGCCTGGCATGCACAGGTCCTGGGTACTGACACCCTGCTCTGAGTGAGCTTGTCCTGTCTTGGGCCAAATTCTAACTCTGGCCAGGGCCACAGAAGGCTGAGTCCCCTGGGTGGTAATGCTGACTGCTGCTGGGGGGACCATAGTGCCCCTCCCCTCCCAGGGCCCAGGATGAGGCCCAACTGGGCCAGGACCCTTTAGGTATGGATCTCGCTCCCCAGCAGGGGGCCTCTGTCCCACAGGTTGGATGACAAGATGCTGCTGGCTGCCAGGGTTGTTCGGATGCCACGTTCACCCTTCCCTCCAGGGACATCAAAGTTTCCAGCTTCCCCTTTGAGAATGACTTCCCAAGGCCCAGGTGCCATCTGGGGCTGCAGGGCAGCTGGCTGCATGCTGCCCTGGCTTCTTCCATGTTGGGCTGGTCACTACCCACCAAGGGGGGTCAGATGCAGGAACCAAGTAGGGCGGTTGTCTCTGGACCTGCATCTTGGTTATCACGGAGCGAGACTGGGCCTGGTGACAGGGCCATGATGGGGTTGTCCTGGTGGTCCTGGGGGTGTCCAGAGGAGATGCAGAATGGAATTGCTGCAAGGATGAATGAGATGACTGTCAGCACAGAACAGGCACCTGGTGAGTGCTCAGGGATTACCCTCAGTAGCTGCCCAGAGGCCAAAACCACCCACCCGATAGCGACTGTCCCCAAGCCAGGAGGAAGAGAAGAGAGCAGGTCCCACTCACCTGAGTCCGATCAGTCAGCTGTGTTGAGATGTGCCTTTCACCTAGAAAACAATCCTTCATGCAGAGCCACTCACAGAGACTGCTGCGTGTCTCTAACTGCTCCACAACACAGAGGCGATGGGGACTCAGCAAGAGTGACATTGTGGGGTGACACAACCCACCACAACAGGAGCCTGCTTGGGTCAAGAGGGCCCAGAGTCGGTGTCCTCTATCCCCTGAACTGACATGTGTGCATGCATTGTGTTTGTGTATGCGTGTGTGTGTGTACATATGGGTGTGTTTGTTTGTCTTGCTTCTCTGGCCAGGCCTAGCTGCTCCACTCACAGGTGCACCCAGGTCCTCATCACTGTCACCACCAGGGCCCAGGGCCAGGATTAGAGCCTCCCACAGGTGCTCCCCAATTTCTTCCCTCTCCACTGAGGGTGGTCCTGGGGATGCAGACAGAGGAGGGGTGCCGAGCAGAGCAGAGAGGGCTGGCACCCTTTCTAGGTGGAACCCAGGTACTGTGTAAAGTTGGAGGTCTGCCAAGCAGTGCTGAATTCAACACATCTTCTCACGTTCTCTTTCCAGCCACCCTCCAGGGTGCCCTGACTCACCTTCCCTACAGATGGAGGCAAAGAGGCTCCACAGACAAACCCCCTGCCTGAGGTCACACATCGGCTAACTGGCCAGGTTCCTACTGACCAGGTGGCCCCAACGAGGCCCCTAATGAGCACTCCCCCATTGACCAGGCCCCACTGACCAAGTCCCCACGGACCATGTCTCCCTAACCAGGCCCCCATTAGTAGGCCTCATGGACCAGACCCCACTGACCAATTTCCCACTGACCTGGTCCCCACTGACTGGGTTCGCACTGACAAGACCACAATTTACCAGGTTGCTGCTCACCTCACCCCCATTGAATAATTCTCCATGGATCAGTCCCCAGCTGACTGAGCCCCCTCTGACCAGGCTCTCACTGACCAGGCTCCAAGCCACTAAGGCCCCACACTGACCAGACCCCTAATACACTGAATACACCCCACCGACCAGTTTTTTATTGTTTATGTTCCAACCGATCAGGCCCCACTAATAAGAGCACCACTGACCAGGTCCCCACTGACTAGGCTTCCAATGACTAGGTCACAAGATACCCACTGGGTGAGGCCTTCACTGAGGCGGCCACCACTAACCAGGTCCCTGCTGATCAGGTCCCAACTGACCAGGTCGTGATGGCTAGGTCATCTCTGACCATGGTCCACTGACGAGGCCCTTGAGCAGCTGTGTTCAAAGTCTCATTACAATGCCACCATCAGCTCACAGAACCTCCCCTCCCTGCATGTGTGCCCAGGGGTCAGGCCTGGGGGGTTTTCTTGGGCTGCAAGGCCTCTCCTCCAAGACACAGGGAGGGAGTCAGCCTCAGGCTCCAGGTACCCAGCTTCACACTCACCCCGCAAGGCCCTCTGGGCCCATCTCAAAGGAGACAATGAGGTGGCCTGGCACTGCCTGGACATGCCATCTTCCCTATTCCTGAGTGTCAGAGTGGGAGGAAGGGAGGGACATTTGGCAGACAAGACATCCTGTGCTGCTGGGTCTCCCAGGGCCCTTCCTGAAGAGCCCCGACCTAGAGACACAGCACAGAGACTGCAGGGAGACTAATCAAGAACCCTTGAGGCTGAGCCAGGGACCACATGAGGACTGTCCCCAGACAGCTAGAAGGCCCTTTGCTAGTTTCTTGGTACCTCAGTGGATGCGACAGTGGTTCTTCTGTTGGGGACTAGTGAGCGCATGATGGGAAGGGCTCGCCTGTGCTTCCTTGGTGCTGCCGCAGAGAAAATACATTAGTTTAGAACACCTTGTGCCAGAAAGTAAAAAAGTGCTGACAGAATAATGGGGACAATTCAAAAAGACATAAAGTCAGCTTGAAATGTCTACCACTGGCCTAATCTTGGGGAACTGGAGCACCAGAATCATGAGCTTTCCCTTCTCCTTTATTTATTGGTTTTATTTCTCCATGTAGAACAAAGAAGAAAATAAGAAAAACAATCATCTGGCAACCATCACAGTAATACTTGTTCAAACACAAGTCATCCATGAAATGCTAAATCTAGTGGGTTTTGAGGAGTAACCAGATATTTACAGAGCTTCAAAGTATCTCCACACAAAATACTATTGAGCTACAAGAAGAAAACCGTAACACTAGTATGGACAAACCTGGCAGATACTCTTTAAGTCTCCTACTACATATGGTAATAAAAACTGTAAAATGCAAAGAAGCCCTCGATGACCTTTACTAAAGTATCAATGATGACTTGGTTGTTTGGCTGTTTAAACAGCTGACATTCAGGCAATTTGAGTAGGCCAAACTCAATAACGCTGGTGTTCATTTGCAAGATCCACTTAAAACTTAAGGAGGCTAAAAAACATCATTTAAAATAACATATAAATATACACCATATGTGACATGAAAATATTCTACTTTAGTAAAGATTATGATGTTTTATATTATATGAGAAACAATTAAAATTTCATGTAAATAGCCCAGTAATAAAGTTTTATGATCTTTTAAATCATACAACTTTTCCTTAAGATTTTATGGTTAATCTCTTCATTAGATGTGGCTTACCAGTGGATTCTACAAAAGAAAGTAGACGGGAGCAAGTGCTCAACATAGCAAAACCTGGAAAGAAAAAGAAAGGATTATGTTCTTTACCTAAAACATTTCAGTTAACGAAGTGTAAGTTTAAAATGTGGAGTTGAGAACGTTATCAGAGTTAATAAGAATGAGAAATATGTACGTGCAATTACAATACAAAATTACTATTAAATCATTTACACATGGCGTTAATTCCAATTGTGGTTAAATATCACAGCTTTTTCATTCTTCATTCATGTACTCAACAGCCACGTGCTAAGGTACTAGAGCCAGCACTGGAATTACAAGATGAAGATGGCATGGTCCACCTCCCAATAGTCATATGCTATAACCTAAAAGACCGGCAGGTAATGTCCATATAGAGTCATAGATACCATGACAGGTATACAGCAGGGCACTACTGGAACATACAGAAGGGACATCTATCCCACTTTTGTGTCAATATCATGGGCTTTCTGGTGGAGGGGATACATAGGTTGATGACTGAAGGACGAGGAAAATCTTGCCAGATAGAGGGAAGAGGCGAAGGCAAAGATCCTGAGGTAACAAAGAGCCCTGCGGAGCTCTATTCTGTCCACTTTGGTGCTAGAGCAAAGGGCAGAATGCAGTAAGTGGTGAGAGACAAGGCTGAGTAACCTGACAAGAGTTACATTGATGTGAGTGTTTTTATTTCATGGTGAAATTTTTGGAACTTTTCCTGAGAACAGATGTAAGCCAACTGATGCCTTTGTTTTTGGAGAATCGTTTCAGTGTGCTGGCTGACAGTTCCATGAGGATGGCAAAAGTGAACAAATTGTAGAGCTGGTAAAAAAGAGATGGATCCACTTCTTGGGAATTTTTTAAGCTATGGAACATGATGAATTAATGATGCATAAGTATACTCTTCACTGTGAAAGTTTTCGTTTTCACATCTTTCATTAGATGTGTGTAAGAAAAAGATACTGAATATAGTATCTACTAACCCAACAATGAAAAGGAATGCCATTTGCTATTTACACTTTATTACTAAAATAAACCTAAATTTAATTAATACATTTTGGCAACATACTTTTCTTTGTTCCTGTAATTATTTGTTCTACACGGTCCAGCTCCATCTAAAATAAGTAAATAATAATAATAATAATGTTTAAGTTAAACAAGAAATATTATCATGAGATTAATATATTACAAAATGTGGCCCTTAGTATTTTTAGTGACTAGACATAACACAAAGTTTGCTTAAATAGAAAATTAATCACATTAAGTAAAGTAAAATTTCTACTTATTCTAAGTTTAGATAATAGAGGATGTATCTGTGTAATGCTATTTAGAGTAATCTGACAAAAATAGATAATATTGGTCTATTGGATATACATAATTTTAGAAAGGTGGTGTTTTATTTGTACAAAGGTTAAACAATGGCCGGGCACAGCAGCTCATGCCTGTAATCCCAGCACTTTGGGAGGCAAATGTGGGCAGATCACAAAGTCAAGAGATCGAGACCATCCTGGCCAACATGATGAAACCCTATCTCTACTAAAAATACAAAAATTAGCTGGGTGTGGTGGTGCATGCCTCTAGTCCCAGCTACTCGGGAGGCTGAGGCAGGAAAATGGCTTGAACCCAGGAGGTGGAGGTTGCAGTGAGCCGAGATCGTGCCACGGCACTCCAGCCTAGTGACAGAGCGAAACTCCATCTCAAAAAAAAGAAAAAAAAAAGGTTAAACAATTAAAGTCACATTTTGCAATGAATGAATGCATTGCTTTGAAATTCTTAGCAAAACTCTGTCCTTTACAAAAGTTTAATCCATTTTTTACTTAAATAAATTTTTTCTTAAAAAGAAATTTATATTCTTTAGTTACTGAAAAAAATATGTAAAGTTTTCTTTTTTTTTTCTAGTTTGTATTCTAAATTAAAGCGGTACCTGTGTAAGTTTCTTCCAAAAGTATATTGAGGAATGCTAAGGTTTGGAGTACAATTGAACCCATCACACAGGTAGTGAGCATAGGACCCAAGAAGCAGTTTTTCAACCCTGGCCCACTCTGTCCCTCCCCATTCTTATTTCCCAGTGTCTATTGTTCCCATGTTTATGTCAATGGGCACCTGATGTGTAGCTCCCACATATGAGAGCAAACAAGATATTTGGTTTCTGTTTCTGCGTTAGTTTCCTTAGGATAGTGGATTCCAGCTGTATCCATGTTGCTGCAAAGGACATGATTTTATTCTTTTCATGGCTGCATAGTATTTGGTATATATGGAATTTTCCAATCTACCTTGGATTTTCAAACTACCTTGGGTGCACCTGGATTGACTCCATGTCTTTGCTATTGTGAATAGTGCTGCAATGAACATACATGTGCATGCATCTTTTTGTTACAATGATTTATATTTTCCTTTAGGTATAACCCTAGTATAGTAATGGGGTTGCTGCATGTGGGATTACAGGTGCCTGCCACCACACCTGGCTAATTTTTGTAGTTTTAGTAGAGACGGGGTTTCATCATGTTGGCCAGGCTGGTATCAAACTCCTGTCCTCAGGTGATCCGCCTGCCTCGGCCTCCCAAAATGCTGGGATTACAGGTGTGAGCCACCACACCTGGCCAAGCACAAAGCTTTTAACAGAAAAATGGAAATGAACCTTTCAGTGTTTTGTTTATTTAATTCATAAAATGCACTTATTTGGGGTTCTATTAAATAATAAATATCTATATGTTGTTAAGTGTTTGGTTGCCTGTCATTCACTTGTGATTATGGGTGGAAAGAGTTAAGTTGGTGCAAAGAAACTTTAAAAGTGGTATGGGCTGGGCACAGAGGCTCACCCCTGTAATCCCAGCACTTTGGGAGGCTGAGGTGGGTGGATAACAAGGTCAAGAGTTCGAGACCTGCCTGGCCAATATGGTGAAATCCCATCTCTACTAAAAATACAAAAATTAGCCAGGTGTGGTGGCAGACACCTGTAGTCCCAGCTACTTGGGAGGCTGAGGCAGGAGAATCACTTGAACCCAGGAGGCAGAGGTTGCAATGAGCTGAGATCATGCCACTGCACTCTAGCCTAGGCAACAGAGCAAGACACCATCTCAAAAAAAAAAAAAAAGTGATATGAACCACAGACAAACTACAATCAAGTAGAGTAAGACAAAGCATTTCAAAGTATACCATCAGTTATTAGGCAATAACATGCATTTTCTAAAACCTAACTTAAATGCAGCTTTTAAAGAAATTTTAAATGTGTCAGTTTAACCACATTTATTGAATAAAGTTAGCAAATGGGTGTCTCTTGAAAATGAGAGCTCCAGGGAATTAAAAAATGTAAAGTTTCCATTTCCTTTCTGTGTTAACACAGCTAATTATAATCTTTACTTAACATGCGTAAGTCAACAGAACTCAGTATTTCATCAAATTATAGACAAGAATTATATTAGAGAAATGAAACCCAAAAGAGAAATGGTCATATAACTAACCTCAGTCAAGAAGTTCTTGCAGTTATTTGAAGTCTGTGGGTTTGAAGTAGGAATTCTTATGGCCGTTTTGGGAATATATTTTCTGTTGAGTTCTATACTATTAAGATTTTCAACACAAGGTAACTCTGGTTCTGGCCTTGTAGGAAGAGTGCTGAGAAAATATTTCATCCGCTGTTTCTCCGTAAAGAGCTTGGTGCTGATCACTGCTATTTTCTTATCCGATCTGTAAAGAGAGCAAAGACAAATGCTTAGTATTTCATTTTTCCTTGAATGATTCTTAATGACTTGCATTTTTTAAAAAGTTGCCCTGAGAGTAAACCAAAATACCCATTAAACAGTGCTTTCACACAAAGATGTGTGAGGGCATACCTCTTGTAAGTAACGGTAATTTTAAAATCATCCTAAATAAGTATATGTGTTTCTAAGGTGATTTCTACTGAACAAGCAGTTCAAAGTGGACAGGGAAGAGAAATGGCTATCAGTGATGTACGGCTCAACAGGTAACCTAGCTGCCTTCTAAAATAGCTCTACTTATAAGATTCTAAAGATTCCTTTAGATATACTTGTATTTAAAGGGTAACTATGTGGGAAAATGATTACGTTAATTTGCTTGACTATAAGAACTACTTCACTATAAATAATTATATGAAAACATCATGTTGTACTCCTTAAATAATGTAGATTAAGAAAACTAAAATGAACAAAAATAATCTAGAAATACTTGTGTTTAGTAAACCAGTTTCAGGTTTCACCCTTGTACATTTCACCCATTCTCTAAGAACACTTAAGTATTTGGCACTGAGGAATAACTCAGAGCAACAACTCCTGGGGGAGAACTAGACTGGTTGGTTGGTGATCAAAAAGAACTAAAGCATCTCTGAAGGCAATTAGCCCTCAACACCGTGACCAAGGCACTGGAGGTGGGGCTTGTTCTTTCTGCCTTCCACACAGCCCTTCAGGCTGAAAAAGGTGTTATTTTTGAACCCTTGTGGATTACCCTTCTTTTCATTCCTGTGATAATTATTCCCTCTTTCACAAGGATGACTTTATGTAACACCTTGAAAATGTTACACAAATAGTCTTTCTTGAGGCACCCTCTAGTGATAATACCAAAGATCACAATCAAAAACAGTCCCTGCCTGAGTGCCAGGATGTGCCCAGAGTAGCAGTATCACTTGACACTTTGGGTTTAGGTTGTGATCTACCAAAAAATAAATTAAACTCACTAATATTCCCATTTAGGGAAATTCTGACAAGTAATTTTATAACAAGATCACTTTATTGATCATAAAGCTTCAAAAATACTTAGTGAAAAAAACTAACAGGTCAGGTTAACTACATGAGACTTTTCAGGGGAAAAAAGCCACACAAAAACAAAAAAAGAGAAGAGAGACAGAAACTATCCTTGATGAACATTTTAAAGGTAGGATTATTTACTAACATTATTTTCCAAAATTACATTATCAAATTAGCATTCACTTCCTACTGATCTCCTGAAGCCATCTCACTAAAAATTATGCTTTTAAGACAAATTAATGAGCTGAATTCATTTTCTATGAGTGTATGTTTTGACTTACTTCATTAATTTTTTTGACATGGAATTGTTAGCTTTCACTGCTCCTGCAAAGGCTTCCTTAAATTCTTCTAATTCAGTTGTAACCTCTTCATAAGCAGTTTTCATTTTGGAGAATTTACATTCCACATCTTTAAGTGTGAGTTCCTTCTTTTTTAGTGAAGCCGTATTATCCTTGTTTAACTGCTCTAATTGTTTTTCATATTCTGCTTGTTTCTAAAACAAATGAAAAGAATACACTTTTAAAACAATTATAAGTTAATTACCATAGGTTTGTTGCCTTTCATTTTGAATCAGTGATTCGAAGAGCAATTTTGAGTATGTTGAAAAGAGGCTGAAGCTTAAAATATTTATCAGCAATATCAACAAAACTAATAACTGAATTCAGAATTGTCTGATTTAAAAAAATTTGAAATCATACTTATGTTAGTATTAATGTAATCTTGTCCTATAAAAAGTAATAGAATCCATTTATAATTTTAAAAAGTGAACAATGAACAACGTAGCTTAAGACCAATTCAAAAGTATCATATAATTTCTAAATCACAGTTTTCTCTTATGCCACCTGGTCTTAATCATCAAATTCCCCCTTTTACTCTATAGTGAGAATCATTACTTTGAAAGATTGATTTTGTTATAATAATAATGGAAATTTAAATATTTAAAAGGAAAAAAGTCACTTTTTTTCTAGAACTCTACGAAGGAAATTGCTGTAAGAGAGGCAGAGGAAACACAATATATACATATCCAAAATATAGTTTGCAGTGAAATAAATGAAAGCCCATTACAGATAAACTTACCTGATTTTAAAAACTAACCTGTAAATGGATTTCTTCTAATTTTTCTATTTCCTGCACTGCCCTTTCATCCAGCTCCGATTTATATTCTTGTAGTTTACCAAGTTCTACCATATCTTTTTCCATATGTGTCTTAAGATTTAATACTTCTTCTTCCAACATCTTTTTATCCTTCTCAAGTTTTTCACATTTCTCTTGTACATTTCTCATAGATAATAACTCCTGATGAAGAACTTCATTGTCTTTGGCCAAATTGACACATTCTGAAGACACAGCTTCCTTCTCGGCCACAAGATCATTAAACTGCATTAAGAAAATAATAGAGCTTGATAATGAAGTAGGCTGAGAATAATCCAATACAAAACCAATAGCAAATTTTGAAATGCATTGACTTGAAATAAAATGTTATCTATAATGTAGTAGATTCTTCAAATGTGAACCCTTAAATTACTCAGAATTTTAAGAACAAAGTTAAAGCTACCATGAGTCACAAAAATGTGCTTTACTGTCATCATCTTTGCCACAGAACTTTTGCACTTGCTTTTACTTTTATTTTTCTGATAATTCATTTTTGTTCCTCCTTAAATGGCACTAAGTTATCTCTTAGTAAAAAGTGTCTAACCCTCTTCCCTCATCATCATTCCCCAAAATTTGTCAAAAAAACTTTCAGAGATATCATATTGAGTTATTTAGGCCAAAGTCAATAAATGGCTCTCAGAATAAGACTTTGAAAATAATATAATACTCTACGCTAGGCATGGTGGCTCATGCTTGTAATCCCAGCACTTTAGGAGGCTGTGGCAGAAAGATCACTGGAGGCCAGGAATTTGAGATCAGCCAGAGCAACATAGTGAGACCCCCATCTCTACAAAAAAACAAATTTAAAAAATTAGCCAGGCATGGTGGCTCAGGCCTGTAGACCCAGCTAGTTGGGAGACTGAGGCAAAAGGATGGCTTGTACCCAGAGTTCAGGGCTGCCGTGAATTATGACCACATCACTGCACTTCTTCCTGGACGATAGACAAAGACAATATCTCAAAAAAACACAAAATAATGAATCCTGTAAATAAGGATTCTGATGCCATAAGCCTTTCCCTAAACTGCAAATGTTTCATGCTAATTTGAATTGCATTTTAAGAAGTAATGATTCTTGGGGTAAAGGCCATAGAATACAGCACCCAGAAACAAATCCACATATTTACAGCCAACTTATTTTGGAATAAGGTGCCAAGAACATACATTGGGGAAAGGACACCCTCTTCAAATGAATAGCGCTGGGAAACTACCCATATGAAGAATGATACTAGCTTCCTATCTATATAGCACCATATAGCAAAATAAACTCAGAATCGATTGAAGACTGAAATGTAAGGCCCCAAATTATCAAACTATTATAAGTAAACATAGGGAAAATGCTTCAGGACATTAGTCTGCACAAAGATTTGTATAGGTAAGACATCAGAAGCATAGGCAACAAACAAATGATAGACAAATGGTACTACAACTGAGTGAAGAGAAAACCTGTAGAATGGAAGAAAACATTTTCAAGCAATTCATCCAAAATATCCAAATACACAAGACAAATATCCAAAGTACACAAGGAACTCAAACACCCTGACAGTAAACAAAAATAATCTGAGTTCAAAACTAGGCAAAAGATCCGATTAGATATTTCTCCTTTTTTTAAGAGAAAAAAAAGAAATACAAATAGCGAACAAATACATTTTAAAATGTTCAGTATCACTAATCATCAGGGAAATACAAATCAAACCTACAATGTGATATAATCTTGCTCCATTTCAATAAATGGCTATCACAGAAAACACACAAAAAAGTGCTGGTGAGGTTTCAGAGAACAGTAAACTCTTACATGCTGTTCGTGGGAAGGTAAATTAGTGCAGCTACTATAGAAAACAACATGAGGCTTTCTCAAAAAATGAACAATGCAACTGCCGAGGGATCCAGCAACCCCACTACTGGGTATTCAGGCAACAGAAAAGAAAACAATAGATCACAAGGATACTTGTCCTCATATGTTTATTGTAGCTCTATTCACAACAGCTAATGTATAAAATCAACCTACATGTCCATCAACAAATGAATGGACAAAAAAATTGTGGTACACATAAACAATGGAATACTCACCATATAAAAAAATGAAATCCTCTTACTTGTAGCCACGTGGCTCAGTCTGGAGGATATTATGTTAAGTGCAGACACAGAAAGATAAATACTGCACATTCTCACTCATGTGTGGGAGCTAAAGAAAAATTGAGGGCTGGGCAACATGGCTGATGCCCGTAATTTCCTAGCACTTTGAAAGACCGAGGCAGGAGAATCACTTGAAGCCAAAAGTTCCAGAGCAGCCTGAACAACATAGAGAGACATCTCTACAAAGTAAAAAATCAGACAGGTGCAATGGTGCACGCCCATAATCCTAGCTGCTCAGCAGGGTGAGGTCAGAGGATCACATGGGCCCAAGAGGTTGAGGCTGCAGTGAGCTATGATCAAATCACTGTCTCTAGCCTGGATGACTCTACAGTTGCCCAGAGCCCAGACTACACTAGCAAGACCTTGTCTCTTAACAACAAAAAAGCTCATAGAAGTAGGAGAGGGGAGTCTGGTTAATGGATACAGAATTACAGTTAGATAAGAGGAATGAGTTCTGATGTTCTGTGGCATTATAGAGTGAATATGGTTAACTATGATTTATTGAATATTTTTAAAAAGCTAGAAGATTTTGAATGTTCACAATTCAAAGAAATGAAAAATGATTGAAGTAGTAAGAAGTAGTAAATATGCTAGTTAGCTTGATCATTATGCACTATATAAATTTATCAAAATGTCACCCTATAGCCCATAATTATGTATATACATGTCAATTAAAACAAAAGAGAATCTATATTCATCCCATTAAAAGAATAGAATATGGGCCATCCTTACTGATGGCCTTCTCCTAATGAATAGAATGCAGTAAAAGGGATACCATGTAGCTTCCCTATCTCAGACTGCTTTCCCTTCGAACTCAGCCCCCAGATTGTGAGAGAGATCAGTCCACAAAGACAGCCTGGGAGTGCCAGTGTCGGTGTTCATGCTGCCTGCCCCAGCCGAGGTTCCAGCCAGTGGCCAGCATCAACCATCAAACACATGGGTGAGCAAAGCTTCAGATGATTCAATTTCTCCAACTTCCTAGGGAACCTGAGGGGAGCAGAGACAAGCTGTCCTGGCCAATCTTTTTCCAAACCACAGGTTCATGAACAAAATAAATGTTTTTCTTTTAAGCCACAAAACTCTGGGTAATTGTTAGAAAAATAAGTTTTAAAAAGAGACAACAGGAAACAACTTAGGTAGCAGAAAAGAGTCTCCTTTAAAGTAGGATCTAATAAATGTTGAGATTAATTTGTTGATGACAAACATTATTGAGAAACAGCAGATAACCAGGAGAGAGATGTAAGCTGCTGAGGAGGAACTTTTCCTAAAACCCCCTTCAATTATGAACTCTGATAATAAGGCAAGGGTGTCTCCTTACCATTTCCCCTCAAGTTAGGAAATAAGACTGCAAAGCAAGAAGACACATGATTTGAAAAACAACTGGAAATACTTGGTTACATAACCAAAATCAGACATTTACCTGATTTCAATTAATGAAAATTCTAAAAGAAGAAGCTCTAAGTATTTATTAATCAATCTAGTATTCGATTTTCATTTTCCTTTTTCTCAATGAGGAAATAAGGAGAAAATTATGGAATGACTTTTACTCTTCACAGAAGTAAAATAAACACAGCATACTTTGAGTGTTAAGACATCAAATGCATTTTCTCCTTTACCTTACTTCACGTTTGTTTGCATGGAGAAGTTAAGACCATCCCATCTCTGTATTATACCGCAATGCTTCTCTATAGCACACAACTTGGCTCTGAAATTTTGAAATTCAAAATACTAATCTACTATTTGTCTCTGATAAATTGCCTGAATATTACCTGATTTTTAAGTGCTGCACTCCTAAAACTTTTTCTTGGAATGAGTTAAACTTTTTATTCCAAGAATCCTCTACTGAGCTAGAAAGCAGAGCTGTGCATCTCTGTTTCAGTAATAGGAGGTCAATACAGAAACCGTGGTTTCTGAGAATGCAAGATCTGCACCAAGAAAAGGATTAGCCACAGTGTTACACAAGAGAACAAGATGCCAGGTGGAAAGAGGATCTGTGAACTGAAAGATGATGACTTCACTTGATTTCCACTGAGGAAAGCTGGCAGCTCAGACTTAAACTCCTCCTTCCTGGATGGTAAACATCTATGGATGATTCTATGAATTATAATGAGTTAGTAAAACATAAGGCACTAAATAGTAGACTATTTCAGCAGATACTGCGACCAAAATTTACTGAAAATGAAACTATAGAGGGAGGCACTGGATAAGAGACTAAAGGTTCAAATGGAGAAAAAAAGAAATAGTGTGTCTCGTAAGCCTGACTTGCCATCATGTCTTAGAGTAAGTAAGGTATAAGCTGGCCACAGACTCCTTTGAGACACAAAAGGTGAAGTTAAAGATATTCTACTACATTTAATTTTTATTATGACATAAGACAACTGGTAATATGCAACATGATTGAAAAAATTTTCTCAGTAAATTCAATTTGGTCCTCGTATAAGAATAGACATAAACTAAGAATTGATAACCTAAAAATAAACCTGCACATTTACAGTCAATTGATTTTATACAAGGTAACAAAAAAACAGAATGGGAAAAAATAGTCTTTTCAATAAATGATATTGGAACAACTGGGTATCCATGTGCAAAAAAAATTACAAAGTTGGACTCTCACCTAATACCATATTTAAAAATTAACTCAAAACAGTTAACTGTAACAGCTAAAACTATAAAACTCTCAGAAGAAAACATTGGCATAAATCTTTGTGACTGCATTTGGCAGTGTTTTCTTAGCTATGACTCCAAAGGAAAAATGGATTCAATGGACTTCAAAATTGAAAACTGCTGTGCCTGAGAAGACAGTATCAAGAAGTGAAAAGGCAAGACACTGAGTAGAAGAAAGTATTTGAAAAGTGTATATCTGATAAGGGACTTACATATATAGGATATATAAAGAACCCTTGCCATTCATAAATAACAAGATAACCCAATTTAACAAATGGGCAAAGAATTTGAATAGATATTTCTGCAAAGAAGATATAAAGACGGATAATAAGCACATTAATAGATGCTTAATGTAATTAGTCATTAGGAAAATGTAAATCAAAACCACCTTGTGGTATCACTTCACACCACAGGACCAAATCTTTGTTCAATAAAAAAGAGAAAATAAGTGTTAGGAAAAATGTAAAGAAATTAAAGCCCTTATCCAATGCTGCCGGGGATGTAAAGTGGTGCAGCCACTTTGGAAAACAAACTGTCAGCTCCTCAAAAGGTTAAGCATGAAGTTACTGTATGACCCAGAAATTCCAGTCATAAGTATATACTCCAGAAAAATAAAAACATATGCAAGCACAAAAACTCATACATAAATGTTTACAGCAGCATTATTACTATATTTTTTTTGAGACGGAGTCTTGTTCCGTAGCCCAGGCTGGAGTGCAGTGGCGTGATCTCAGCTCACTGCAACCTCTGCCTCCTGGGTCCGGGTTCAAGCAATTCTCCTGCCTCAGTCTCCTGAGTAGCTGGGATTACAGGCACACACCACCATGCCCAGCTAATTTTTGTATTTTTAGTAGAGACAGGGTTTCACCATGTTGGCCAGGATGCTCTCGAACTCCTGACCTCGTGATCCACCCGCCTTGGCCTCCCAAAGTGCTGGGATTACAGGTGTGAGCCAACACACCTGGCCTACAGCAGCATTATTAATAAGAGTCAAAAAGTGGAAAGAACCCAAAGGTCCATCACCTCATGAATGGTTACATAAAATGTTTAATGTATCCATACAATGGAATATTTCTCAGCAATAAGAAGAAATTTAGTACTGATACTGATAGAAGCAGGAGACAGCAAAATGCCTAGGCAGATATGGAAGGGTCCCCAGAGAATCTCCAGGCCCACAAGTGTCTACACCAGATAAAACGTCCGGTGCAGATAAGGGAACCTGCACAGGGGCTTGCCTGGACTTGCCAGCAGCAGACTGGAGGCCCACATGCACTGGGGGGATGGGGTGGAGCCACCAGGAATTCACGCCTTATGCAGAGGAGGAGCCTGGCCTCTTCAGCTCCTGTGTGCCTGTCCTGGTATTCAATTGTGAGGTGGAAATCTGTTTGCAGGACCCCTCTCTTTGCTGAGAGCTTCCCTTTCACTTAATAAATTCTGTCCTTCTCACCCTTCAATGGGTCCACATGGCTAATTTTTCCTGGTCATGAGAGAAGAACCCAGATTTGGCTGAACTAAGGAGCGAAAGCCCTGCATCAATACCTGCTACAGCACAGATGCAGCATGAAAAATTATGCTAAGTGAAATAAGCCAGTCCCAGTCGACCACTTGCTTTTTATTTCAGAGGCTTATATGCAAATCTATACAAAGAAGGTGGGTGGTTCCCTAGGGCTGAGGGAGGAAGGGAAAACTAGTGAAGATAGCTAAATGATGTGGGGTTTGTTTTTAGGGTGATGAAAGTGTTCTAAAATTGATGTAATGATGATTACATAACTCTGAAAATAGTAAAATTGAATGACTTGTATATTTTAAATGAGTGAATTGCATGGTGTGTTAATTACTTCTCAATAAACCTGTTACACCCCAAAATTTATTTGGTACTAGTGATCTGGAGACATGGGCTGCTTCGTTTCAGATCACTGGCCAGGGTTCAAGACATAAGAGAATCAACAGCACATCTTTTGTAAGGAAAAATATATACATACATATATTTTAAAGTATCTTTTTATTAGTATCAAGTCTGTAAAATTAAATGAAAAATCTTTCACTGCTTAAAGCACTGAGAGATTTATATTGAGGAGCAAGACCTTGTATTCTTTTGCCCCAGTTTCTATCTAAAGGGTCTGGGAATCACACCCTTCAAACAATCAAATCTCATCAGATGGGTTTTATTAACTCTTATAATGTGGTTTACTTTCTAACCTGATTCTGGTACAGCATCACAGAGAGAAGAAGCTGAAAAAAATCAAAGTTATTTTACCCCCAAATATATATTTTTTGACATATTTTGAAATGGCTGTTGCAGGGCCAAGAGATTGAAATGGCAGTACAAAGCTGCCTTCTGTGGGGGAATCTGCATCTGTAAGAAGTCTTCATTAATGTAGCCCAATCTCTCCCCTTCTAGGTCTTCCCAGATCTAGGGAAGATTAACTAAGATCCTGATGCATTTCAAGTCTGAAAAGATATATTTACCCTCTATTTTCTCTGAGGGCTGCCAGCTAGGAGGCTTCATCTACATAATAAGAACCTTAACCTCCATAATGACCTTATCTTAATTAAGGCCTTCCTTTATACCTATTTCCAGTTTTAGACAACAGATTTTCTTTATCAATTGTCACCTAAAGAATCCTTAAAACCCACCTATGACTTGTTAGCCCCTCCTTTTTGATGTCCCACTTTTAGGCTGAGCCAATGTATGTCTTCCTCATATTGATTTATGATTTTCCCTACAACTCTGTCTGCTGGAAATGTACAAAACCAAACTGTAATGTGACTGTCTCATGAAGCATTCTCAAGAGCTCTTGAGATTGGGTAATCCAGGGCCACAGTCACCATACTGGCTCAGAATCAACCTCCTTAGATGTATTTTGGCTGAATTTGGGTTTATCCATTATTAATATTTCTCCAAATTACATAATTTTAATCCCCAAACTGATTTAAAATTACCTTATGTTTAAATATAAATTATTGTATTATGAAGACACATGTATTTGTATGTTCATTGCAGCACTATTCACAATAGCAAAGACATGGAATCAACCCAGATGTCCATCAATGATAGACAGGATAAAAAAATGTGGTGTATATACATCATGGAATACTATGGAGCCATACAAATGAATGAGATCATGCTTTTTGCAGGGACATGGATGAACTCGGAGCTGTTATCCTCAGCACACTAACGCAGGAACAAAAAACCAAACACTGCATCTTCTTACTTATAAGTGGGAGCTGAATGATGAGAACACATGGACTCAGGGAAGGGAACAACAAACACCGGGGCTTGTTGGGGTCAGGAGGGAGAGCATCAAGATTAATAGCTAATGCCTACGGGGCTTAATACCTAGGTGATGCATTGATACGTGCAGCAAACCATCATGGCACACATTTACCTATGTAACAAACCTGTACCTCTTACACATGTAATCTAGACCTTAAGATAAAATAATAATTTTTTAAAATTACCTTCTGTTTTAGCTTCTTAAACAGAATATCCATTTTCAGTTGGTCTGTATTTAAGTCTCCATGGCAACTGAAGTCCTCATTTGCAAATGCATTTAACATATTTATTGTCATTTCTAGGCATTTCTTATATCTGCAGAAATGTAAGAACTAGTAAGTCAAGTATTTTTAAGAGTAAATATTTAATAATTGTTTAAACAGATATTATGTTATGGCATATCAAAGAAACAAATCTATAAACTATGATCCTCTCAGTTTCAACTGAACATAGTTTGAAAGCATTCTATATGAAATTATAATCTTATATAAATAATATGAAGAACAATTTTATGGTATATATAGCAGGTAAAGTGATAATAGCCATACAGTTTTTGGTTTTTTTTTTGTTTGTTTTTGTTTTTTGAGATGGAACTTCACTCTTGTTGCTCAGGCTGAAGTGTGATGGCGTGATCACGGCTCACTGCAACTTCTGCTTCCTGGACTCAAGTGATTCTCCTGCCTCAGCCTCCCAAGTAAGCTGGGATTACGGGCATGTGCCACCATGCCTGGCTAATTTTGTATTTTTAGTAGAGATGGGGTTCACCATGTTGGTCAGGCTGGTTTTGAACTCCTGAGCTGAAATGATCTACCTGCCTTGGCCTCCCAAATTGCTGGGATTACAGGCATGAGCCACCACACCTGGCCTAACCATACAGTTTTTTATAAATAGACTATTCATATCCATTTTGGTATGCTAAGATGAAATAACGTATTAGTAAATATAAGGCATAACCGAGAGATGAGTAACCAAGATTTTTAAAAAGTAAAACACATATATGTTTGAAAAAGACACAAAAATACATTTTGATATCCGTTGACCACAGTCTATAAGAAGAAAAAAAAGTACACCCAAAAAGCACAAGGACATTATTCAATGTAGAAAAAGAGAAGAAAACATCTTTAATGTCTGAATTGAGGAGAAAAAGAAAACGGGCAGTTTTAGAAAAAAGGAAAGGTGGAGAGAGATATGTGATGATTTAAAGACTTTGAAGAAGAGATCTAGAGATCTTTACTGACATAATGTCAACAAAATGAAAGGTACAAAACCATGTAGAGAAAGACAATGGCAGAAAAATGTTGATTAGAATCAGAAAACCAACTTAAGTGCTCAGTAAATACATGGAAAAGTAGCTGTGTTCAGGGCTTCAAAGACACATTCCATTTTTTTAAAAAAAGTCTGTGATCAAAACATGAATGCTCATTTTACTCTTTTTCTTTAGGTTATACTTTTTTATATATAAAATTTATTTCTGTAAAACAGAAGTTTAATAAGATGTATACTTCATGTATACAATGGAGGTACCCATGTAAAATGAGTAAATTTCCATGATATGTTTTATATCTAAAAGAAAAACAAAGAAGCAGAAACAAAATACAAGCTATATATCAAGATAAATTTTGATGTTAAAGAAGGACACAAATAGGTCTTTAAAAAATTTGAATGCAGCAGAGAAGAATATTACAAAAGGAAGAAAAGATGACCAAATACAGCAAAAATATCTTCAGAAATAAAAATTCAAACTAGATAATGAAAAGTGCACTTGACATTACATGTCCAAAGCATTGTCATTATTGTTTTCAAAATCATTAAAGAATACGTTGCTAAGCGCAGTGGCTCATGCCAACTTTGGGAGGCTGAGGCAGGTGGATCATGAGGTCAGGAGTTCGAGACCAGCCTGACCAACACAGTGAAACCCCATCTCTACTAAAAATACAAAAATTAGCCAGGCAGGGTGGTGCACACCTGTAATCATAGCTACTCAGGAGGCTGAGGCAAGAGAATCACTTGAACCCAGGTGGCAGAGGTTGCAGTGAGCCGAGATCGCGTCATTGCACTCCAGCCTGGGTGACAGAGCCAGACTCTGTCTCAAAAGATAAATAAATAAATAAATAAAAATAGGCGTAATGTTTTGGCATTCAAAAAAATTTCAGATTGTGTTGTAAGTTTCTTTTTTCACATATTTTTAATATAAATTTTTTCATCCCAATCTCGCCCCAGCAGCTCAGCTGACTTCCACCCCGTTTCTCCCCTTCCATTGGACTCTATGACACATGGTCTCATCCAGAGATCTATTTTTCATCACTTATTGTGTTTTTATACTGAAATTTGATTTTTTTAATAATTCCAACAAAAAAGTCCAAGGGTCATGGACTCCTGCTCACATGCCTATAAAGTTGTGTTGTCAGTTTCTGAAATACATTTTAAAACAGAATTCATTTAATTATGAAAATGAAGACATAAAATGGATTTGTATCAAAGTTTTAGTCAAGTAAAGTTAGAGTTAAATCAATTACTAAATGGTTAAAATGTTCTACAATATGAAAACCATACCCAGTTGCCTCTTCTTCTAATTCACGATTTTTCTTTCTTATTTGGTCCGCAGTATAGTTCAGTAATGATATTAATTCAAAAAGTTTTCTGAATTCTTCATGTTTTTCTTCAGGCTTGAAAAAAAGTGTTTAAAATTATTTTTGTAAAATCTAGAGACCCTCTTCTATCTTAAAAATATTATTTCTCATAAGTTGATGAATAATATGTATTTAGGCGGTTGTATAAAGTGCATTTTACAAACCTGATGCCAATAACGAGATTTCAAAACTAGTCATTTTCTTAAAACAGCTAAAAAAGATTCACACTTTCATCATTACCTTTTCTGAAATTTAAACTGCCAAAAATGTTTGTTAAAAATGAGAGTTTTTACACATAAAGTACTAAGGGTTAGTAAGATACATTAAGAGTAGTAATATTTACATTTTAGTTTTTAAAGATGCTCTAGAAACATTGTCATTAATAGTTTAAGATATTCCAAGTTAAATTACATCTTACTAAGATGATTTTTAGAAAACTCTTATCTAGTTCCCACTACATTTTTGATCCTCATCTATCTTCAGGCTGAGCTAAATACTGTCATTCTCTGTGAGTATTCACCGGTAGGTTTCGGTTTTTCCCTGTCTATTAACCATTTCTCTTTAAACAAAGTTTATTTTTTCTACAATACACAAATAATAACTTTTGTCTACTTTTTGTGGCTTTTCTATTATCCTGTTTCTCCCCTTCCATTGGACTCTATGACACAGGGTCTCATCCAGAGATCTATTTTTCATCACTTATTGTGTTTTTATATTGAAACTTGAGATAAACCAGTGCAAGTCTCTTTAGAGCAAAACCTAGGTAACAGACATCTGGGTTGCTTGGCAAAGGTCATGTGTAATCCTAAGTTATGAACCTGTCACAATTTAATTAATTGTTCTGCCTCTGTATCCGTGCTTTCACACCACTGTAACTGTAAGCCTGCTTCAAGCTAGCCCACCCCATTTTTGAAGTGTGTATAAAAGTCAAGTGCTGTCTTTGTTCTGGGCCCAGTTTGTCAGATGTTGAGTCCGCTGGGTCTGAGTACACTCGATAAAGATATCTTCCTGTGTACACCCCAAGGTCTCTCTCTGGTCCTCCTGATTCTGCAACACCACCTCACCCAGCTAATTGTTTGTATTTTTAGCAGAGATGGTGTTTCACAATGTTGGCCATGCTGGTATTGAACTCCTTACCACATGATCTGCCCTCCTCGGCCTCCCAAAATGTTGGAATTACAGGCGTGAGCCACCATGCCTGGCTGCTACTCCTCTTTTTAAATTCTCTCAGAACTCCTAATATCTCAAAACATTAACCTGGATTCCCTAATATAAATTTCCAGCTCTGACCTTTTTACTGAGGCCTCTTCCCTCTAGTACACATATTATAGACAATATTCTCAACCACACACTTATACATTTGCTACCTGGTGCAGATTACTTTTGTAGATAGTGAATCTTGTCTATTTTATGTTGATTCTTATGGATGTTACTTTGAGTACAGTGTTATTTTCTAATCTTGAAGGGGGGCTGTCTCACCCTTAGGATATTCACCAGTATACTTTGCTTTGTCCTTTCTTTTTCTTTCTTTCTTTCTTTTTCCTTCTTTCTCTCTTTCTTTCTCTCTCTCTCCTCTCTCTCTTTCTTCTTTTTTGTACCAGTATATTTTGTCCATTTTTTCTTTTTCTTTTTCTTATTTATTTTTTTTGAGATGGAGTCACACTCTGTCATCCAGGCTAGAGTGCAGTGGTGCCATGTCGGCTCACTGCAACTTCCACCTCCTGGGTTCAAGTGATTCTCCTGCCTCAGCCTCCCAAGTAGCTGGGGCTACAGTTGCACACCACCAGCTAATTTTTGTATTTTTAGTAGAGACAGGGTTTCACCATGTTGGCCAGGCTCTTCTTGTACTTCTGACCTCAGGTAATCCACCCACCTCAGCCTCCCAAAGTGTTGGGATTACAGATGTGAGCCACGGCACCCAGCCCTTTTTTCTTTTATAATGAAAACTTTTCCATGAGAATCAGATTATCAATTGTTTGCCTTTGTTTTCTTTTAAAGAATTTCCTTTTCCATAGAGATATGGCATGATGAACATCTTGTTCTAAAGTTCCTTTTGGGGGACACTCAACTATGTCATTGGGAAGCTTCAGTAAGTAGAGATCTCCCTTCTTCCTGATCGAGATTCTTCATCTCAGAATGGTGTCCACCAAATGTCTTAATCCAGGTAGTCTCCTGCTTAGGAATTCATGAAATAAGAACCTTCTGGAGAAGTTAGAGGCTATTGATTGAGATGGTTTAAAGCTGCCCCTTATTATATGTTTTACTCCCAAGGCAGACATCAAAGCGGCTAATAATTCTATGCCTGATGTCTAACTCAATTCTATGGGAATCTATACAAAACGTTTTATTTATGAGACAGAGCTTGCTCTGTTACCCAGGCTGGAGTGCAGTGGCTTGATCACCGCTCACTGCAGCCTTGATATTCTGAGCTCAAGCGACCCTCCTACCACAGCCTCCAATGTAGCTGGGATTACAGGCATGCACCACCATGCCCCAGCTGTTTAATTTTTTTTTTTTTTTTGGTAGAGTCAGGGTCTCACTTATATTGCTCTGGCTGGTCTCAAATTCCTGGGCTCAAGCACTGTTCTTGCCTCAGCTTCCCCAAGTGCTAGAATTACTGGCATGAGCCACCTCACCAACCAGGTGTTCCATGGAATGGTTTGAGAGGCAGTTCTACACAGAAGCCAGAAGGGCTGGGTCTGAATCCCAGATCTACCAGATACTAGCCGTGCGACCTTGAGCAAATTAATTTTCTGTGTCTCCGGTTCTTTATCTATGAAATGGAGAGAATAATACCATCTACTTCACTGGGATGTTGGGAAGATTAAACCAGGGACTGACATGAAGCACTTAGAAGAGTATGTGGTGCATGGTGAGCTACAGGTAAGATTTGCTTAGAAGCACTTAGAAGAGTACATGTACATAGTGAGCTACAGACAATATTTGCTATTAGCATGATAATTTTCACTGTTTTTTATCTCTTGACCATTGTATGTGTTAGGGAGGTGGCATTCCAATGGAAGTGGCCTTCTATAGATGCACTGAATCATTCTTCACACCACTGAAAGTGGCAGCAAATGGGGAGTGTATAATTTATAGCTTACTCTTCTCTCTGTGTGACTCAGTGGGCAACAGTCACGTATGTACTACAATGGAAACAGCACCTCCTGGATTGAGTAGTACATAACCGACATGACCAGCAGAGACAGGCTGAGCCACGGAGCTGAAAACCCTGGACTCTATTGCTAAATCAAGTCTTCTGAATCAGTTCCCTCCCAGCAGCTGTTGCTGTGGCACTGCCTTCACGAGTACTCTGCTGAGCGCTCGGATTAAGGAGCTGTGCTGTCCTTCATCAGACAAGCTGCAGCCAGAACTATTCAGCTGACAAACTGGCAACCATCCAGAAATACAGTTTTGGCTACATAGTGAAGGAAGGCAAATTTAGATTCTTTTTTCATACTGAGAAAAACATGAGCATTTGATTGAACAATTCTCCTCTATTAGACTAATTGGTTTTAATTTCATATTTAATTGCTAAAAATACACTTAGAATAAAAGATTTACTGTGTTAATGTCTCAAAGAAGTAATTGGTAGGGTATATTTTGTTCTATGCTGAAAGCTGCCAAGCTAAACTATTTTCAATTTATAGAAGGATAGGCGACATTCATGTCATATATTATTTTCCCTTTAAGCAAATTTATGTTAAGACAAAATTATCTTCCATTAAAAATGAAAAGCCATGTCAAATTAAGGGCTAAGTTGTTCTGAAGACTGGGCAACAAGTGCTGAGATGTAAGGTCAGTGAGAGAACAGTCAGAGAAAGCTTCAAGAAGAGGAAATTGCCTGCCAGGTCTGAATGAATGAGGCTAGATGAGCAGGAACTGAGAAGGCAGGAAAGACAGCATGGGTAAAACTGGTGCTGATATCTGCCCAATTAACTCTGAGGATAGAGTCCAATGGCAGGGAAATAAAAACATATGTCCATACAATAACCTGTAAATGAATGTTTGCAACAGCTGTTTTCATAATAGCCAAAAAGTGGAAACAACCTAAAGGTCCATCAGCTGATGAATGAATGGAAAACTGGTGTAGCCATGAAATAGACTATTATTTGACAATAAGAAGGAATAAACTACTGATATGTGCTACAACATGGATAAAATTCTGAAAACATTCTGCTAAGTGAAAGAGCCAGTCAGAAAGGACTTCATATTGTATGACTCTATGTATTTAAATATGCAGACCATGCAAATCTGTGGAGACAAAAGTGGATGGTGGTTGCCTACAACTGGGGTAGGTGGAGAGACATGGAGTGGGGTTGCAGTCATGGCTAAGAGATGTAGGGTTGCTTTTCAGAGTGGTGAAAATGTTCTACCATTGATTATGCTGATGACCACACAGCACTGTGAATATACTAACAGACACTGAGTTGTACATTTTAAATGGTTGAACTGTCTGACATGTGAATTATCTCTCAGTGAAACTGTTTTTAAAATCCCATGGTAGGATCCAGATAATTTTCTGAGCTCTCCATTTTGGATGTACATACTCTATTAGATCTGAGTATTTCTACGCCATTACAGTATATTTTAAATGAAAGGAAGATGAAGGCAATGCCTAACTTTTCAAGTAGTTTGTAAATTAACCTAAAACATGTGCATTTCAAAGAACAGTATGATGGCCTTTCTGTACAAGTTAACCTAGAATCCATGAAATGAATACGCACAGCTGCTGTGTCCATTCACAAAAGTGAAGAAATAAGACAACTTGCTGGAATATTCCATTAAACATTCTCTTCTGACTTAATCTGGCTTGCCTCACCAAGGCATTAAGGAAATTATCTAAAAATACTGTTTAACGGGAAAAAAGTCAATTTTCTGTGAGGAATGATGTATTATTCTCAACTTTCCCAAGTGTAGATATTATAAGAGAAAACATATGCAACTATTATTTCAAAATGGCAGAACAAGAGCCAGAGTTGAAGAAGTACGTTATAAAGATAATAAAATGGTAATGATCAATTATAATAAAATATAAAATCAAGCTGTCCACTGAAATTAGTATCCTAAGACACTTTATATTATTCAACCAGCTACAGATTAACTGTCTACATGTTAAATTCCATACATACTTGAATTTCTACTTGAAATAATTTCTTCTTTGAAGTCCATGTCTCATTCAAATTAATATGACAATGTGATGTACCTTCCAGTGGAGACTCTGATATTGAAAATGTTTTAAGGTGATCGACCAGTTCTTCTTGAAATTCTCTCACAATCACCTGACAAAATATTTTTGTTACCAATTTTATAAAGTGGCTTATTATTAAATTATGTTAATATTTAAGTCTAGCATACATACTTTGAAAATTATTACCACACACACAGATTCACTTTCTTTTCCTCATATGTACACTTTCTTCTTTATTACTGAATTCAGTGAGGGACATAGAAGGTGTTATATTCCTGCCAAATTGGTATTCTCTTACATGACAGATTGATCCAGCCCGCTATTCACTCACCTTAGACCCTCAACTCAACCTGAGTTCCTCACATATTCAGTCGCCTGTTGAAATCCTTCCAACGGATTCCTACCTCAGAATAAAATTCCAACGGCCTTCAAGGCCCTAGGTAACATGGCCTCTACCTCCCTCCCTGACCTCAGCTCCTACAACTCTGTCCCGTACAAACTTCAATCCCACTCTCTGTGAACTCTGCCACCCCTCATTAGTCTGAAAATGGGGATTCAATGTCAAACTCATAAATCACAGACAGCTAAAAGTATCTTTGTACTGGAAAGAATTATATCCAAATGATAGTCATTGAGACTTAAAATGTAAATTATGAGCTAATTACTCATAAAAATATTCACAGTAAATTATAAATACCTGCCAGTGGAAACATTACATCAAATATTTTTTTGCTAAAATTTACCACATTTATTCCAAATTGTGATTTTATAACAAGTAGAAGTCTTTAAAATACTAAGTGGTCAGAAAAATACATAATGTGAGACTGACATATTTTCAGACTTAAGTCACATTGGCATGAATCAAAACAAAGTTACACCAACTAAAATACATATAAGAGAGAGCCACTGAAGGAAAAGCATCACAAGACACAGCAACACACTTCAGTTCATCTGGAAAATCTAGAATTAAGTGTCAAAGCAGCTCACTTAATTGAATCTGATTTTCAAAATACACATTTCAGGTACAAGCATTTCCACTTACCTGCTTCATTATGCTCTTAAAATGCGGCAACATGAAGACGTTACATTTCTTATTTCAGTAGTCTAAGACTACACACCTTATCAGCATTGCTCTGCATCTACTAACATTTCATAGGTGACATAATGTCTTTACTCAAAGGAAAGCATCTTGTCAGCTCTACCTTTTATCTCCTGGAAACAAAGCATGTTTCCAAGCTGATATAGTAAACACTTTTTTGGTTTACTAAAACAGCTTTGTTGAAATATGATTTTTATTCAAACAGCTTTGTTGAAATATGATTTATAGAATTTATCTTTTTTAACAAACAGTTCAAAGATTTTTAGTAAATTTACTGTGTCGTGCAACCATCTCTACAATCCAACTTTAGAACATTTTCATCACTCCAGGACAATCCCTAATGCCCATTAGCAGTCACGACCCGCTTCCAGCCCCAGGCCTACACAAACATTAATCATCTTTCTGTCCCTATAGATGTATTTCCTGGATGATTCATGTAAATGGAATTATACAGAATGGTAAACACATTTTCATCTATTTATTTGTATATTGAACTAGGTTCAACATATAGCCAGAATGAAATATTTAAATTTTCTTTCCAGAAGTTTATAGTTTTCTTCATACTTACTTCTCTTTCTGCTTTTTCTTTTTCACACTGAAGCAGTTTTTCTTTTAAATAATTATATTCTTTCATTAATTCCTTATTTCTTTCTTCTAGAAGATCTTCCTTTCCATTCTCAAGACAGTCTCTGTGGATATTAATGACTATCTCTTTATTATCGCCTTCCTTACGAGCATCCTCTAGTTGTCGTTCAAGCAAGAGATTTTCAAGTTCTTGTTGACGTATTCTCTCCTCTAAAGAGTTCTGCTTTCCAATGGATTGACTTTCTTTAGCTTCTCCATTTGGATGCATCTGCTTCATTTCCTTTATTCGATGCTGTGCTTGCCTTAGGTCCAGCTGTACACTTCCTAAAGCCAATGTCTTTTCCCTGAGAGCATCTCTTGTCTCACGGAGCTTACCTTTTAAGGTATTGAACTTCACCCGAGCTTTATGGACCTGTTCAGTAAGCAACTCATTCTTATCTGTTAGTTGAGAAATATTAGAACCCATTTTTTCATGTCTAGAAACATCATCTGCTCTCCATAAAACTAGTTCTAGGTCTTTTCTTTCCACAATTTCATTGTACTCATTTATAGCAGTGGCCAGGCTAGAATGGAGGGATTCAACTTCAGCTTCTAGTCTTTCTTTGTTGTGTTTTTCCTTCTCCAATTCTGAATTCAGCCTTGCATTCTCAGCTTTCAGATCATTAAGCTGTTGCGAATACCGGGCCACTGTTTTTGTTATCATTTTTTCATTGAGTCTTACACTCTTTTCAAAGTTAGCATTTATTTCTGTAATGCTTTTAATTTCCTGAATATATTTCTTTTCCTTTCTGAGACTGTCATTTTTTATTGCATATAATTCCTCTTTGAGCATGGCAATGTCTTTCTTCAACATAAAATTTCCATACATCGCATCCTTCTTTTTTCCGTAACTTTGAGAATCCTAAATAAAACAAAACAAATTTTTAGTTAGCACTCAATAAAATAATCTATGATGGTTATTTCTGAAGTGAAAGAGCAATCTATACATTCATGCAATTAAAAGTTGCTGTAAGTGGATATCCAACTGGAGAAAAAGTTGAAGCAAAACCTTGAACCTTAGAGAACATACATTTCAAAAAGTTCAAAAATGTATTTGAAGTCAATGAATCCATAAAATACACACACACACACTCTAGAGAATTTTTAAGAATATCAGAATTGGAAAAGCCTTTCTCTGAATTACAACAAACTCAAAGCATAAAGTTGTTAAAAAATTTGACTAAATTAAAATCTTGGAAAAAGGAAATTGCATTTATACTCTGATATCTAACCCAGACACCACCCTATAGTAAGACCTTTACCTCGACATCTATTTGGACAGATAAAATCTCTCAAAGTTTTAAAAGTTCTGTTTCCCTGATCATATTCTATTGTGATTTGACTCAACATTTTTTAGTTGTAAGAATTACATTTACTAAATCATAAATCTAGACATTGTACTAAGCACTTCTACATACATACATTGATGAACTTATTTAGTTATCACAATCCTTAAAAAAGACAGGTTAAAAATATAAGCAAGCTGCAGGATTTTCCTCAGGGCTTCTGACTCTACTTCTAGTTCTCCATCAGATCACAGTTACCTCTGTGGTATAAATATATCAACACAAAAACAGAGAAACAAAAAGACACAGGCATAAAATGTGTCTTCTGCCTTTGTCACCTGGATTCTCCATGAAATAGCCAGATTGAGAGGATGTGACCTTGTGGGGCTTCAGAAACAGAAAAGAAGCTTTCCCTTTTCTGCACTAAGATATTCTTTTCCCCACTGCCTTTTCTCCTTATTTTTTCATTTGGTTCCTGGGATATCAAAAAAGTGAAGGTGCTCATTGAAATAGAGGAACCAAAGTTTGCCACAACACAAGGAGCCGAGTGAAACTGCTGAGTTTCTAGTGTGGAATCCTGGAAAATGAGATGTTCCTCAAATTTACATTCAATCACCACAGAAGTTTGTAGCTGGAAGATACACAGTATAGCTGTCCACTCTAGCCCCATATCTACTTGATACTGGAAGTAAAACCAAGAAATATTAAGTAACTCACCCAAAGCTCCTAAGGTGGCATTGCCTAGCATTTCGTGGCACCAAAAGGGAAGATACAATTACATATTGCTGAATTACATCAATTACCAGATAAATACATCAAATTTGTCAAATAAATTAAAAGTGTGACTTTGGCAAAACAATTTAATGGCTCAGAGGGTGGTGGGAGGCCTCATCTGCTTTTACTTTGAAAGAAGAAAATCTCTAGATTTTTGTCTATCTTTAGAACATAACGTACAGGACTCAGCCTTCTACTATAGAGTCAAATGCTAAATTTTTGGCTGAGGAGTTACGCTACTTATATGATAAAATCATACATGTCAAAACCTACCATATTTTATTAAACAACATCATGTAAAAGTCTGATTCAACAGAAACATTGGAGAGTGGTGATTTTCTTAAATATGTGAAAGTATGTGTATTTGTTTCCAAAAACATTTAAAGTGGCCATGATGGAATTATAAGTTTAAACAGTTTGAGTCAAACAGATAAACTTGCATGCATGAAAGCACATTAAACAGACTGGTTTGGCTGGGAATATTTGTTGCAACTCTCAAGGTCAGATACATTTTCATGTCTCTTCTCAGTCATTGCTTTCCTCCCACTGTCTTACCATTTTATCATTTAAATAAATGTAATTCATCTTTAAATGAATACAGAAAAAAGAATCTAGACATTATTTCTTTAGCAATTTCCCTTATGCTTATCTGGTTCAGAAGGTCACATGGTATATGGCCAAATAATTTTCCCAGCCCATATGCCACTTGGAAAACTCACAGTGAGACTTAGGTTGATGAATGAACAAAGATTATGAGAATGTTTTCCAGAACCGTCATTTAGATAGCAGCACTAATCTACTTTGACACATAATTACACATTTAGATAACCCCACTGTAACTATACACATGAGATTTTCTTGAGTAGAAAACCAGAACGGATCAGATAACTTATAATAAGAGAAGCAGCAAAGGAACCTCTTTTATAGTTGAACTTTTTTTCTTCAAAGCCAGGAACTCTACTTGTAACAAGCCTATCTCATTCTTAAGCCTTTGCATATCTTGCTGTAAGTCTTCTTCTAGACATGCTTTTGATGTTCTGTCATCACTATGTGGTGGAGAATAACTCACATTTTCTAATTCAGGTTTCATGCTTTTATAGATATTAGCAGTGGGACTGTCATATGTGGGTCCCTGAAACACACTTGCCAAACACCTTCTAAGCTTTAGAAGAGCTTCTAAGTTCCATATGGCTTGTGGAACAAGCGCTGTATTGGTTTTCGGCTTCATAAGTGTCTGCAATAGCAGAAATACTGTAGCTTTCTATTCGTATCACATGCTTCCATTCTTTGGAGTGAGCAAACCACAAATCAAAAAGACTTTTTGGATCTACAGACTGAGGCCAATGTCTAATGACTAATTTCCAATCTGTGGTATTTTGGGTTATATTTTCTCGTATTTGCATATCAAACTCTTGGTCTTTTTTCATTTCAGCCATAACTACTGGGTTCCTTAATTTTTCAATTTCTGTATCATTACAACAATTCTCTTTCTTCTTCTTCTCTGTGAGAAACAGGCTGCATGTCTGGTTTGTTATAATTTTTACAGTCTGATCTATTTTCATTTGAATAAAGCTTAGAAGATGACTGGCAAGTGTGTTGGAGGGACCCAGAGTATAAATGCAACGATAAGACCTGAGTGAGATGGGCTCCTTCTGTTCAGCCAATGCCTAGAATACCACAGAGTTAGACACTCCAGGTGCGTCTGCTTCCTCACCATCAGGGATAGGATTCATCAGATTACGGGGCACTCCCTTTAAGTTTGTCCCTCTTTAGAGTTACAGTGTAAGAGCTCTTCCTCAGGACAAACAGTAATTCTGGATTTTTCAAAACTTTCACCAATCTTCAGTTGAACTTTTTTGTAATGAATTTTTTTTTTTTTTGAGATGGACTTTCACTCTTGTTGCCCAGGCTGGAGTGCAATGGCATAATCTTGGCTCAACACAACCTCTGCCTCTCAGGTTCAAGCAATTCTCCTGCCTCAGCCTCCCGAGTAGCTGGGATTACAGGCATGCACCACCACACCCAGCTAATTTTGTATTTTTAGTAGAGACGGGGTTTCTCCATGTTGGTCAGGCTGGTCTCGAACTCCTGACCTCAGATGATCTGCCTGCCTCAGCCTCCCGAAGTGCTGGGATTACAGGTGTGAGCCACCACGCCCAGAATTGTAATGAATTTTAAAGGAAGTCCTGAATATACAGATATATCCTCTTTATTACAATTCTTACTCAGTTCTGGTTCTTGAGACATTTTTTTGCAGGTGCAAAAGTGGAAAATTAATTTGCTTCTTTTGTTTCTCAAATGTCTTTTCTGACAGGGTGCAGGTTTTAAAATTAACTTTATTCTAAATTGTTTCTCAGATGTCTTTTCTGACAGGGTGCATGTTTTAAAATTAACTTTATTCTAAATTAAGTATGAACAAAGAAAAAATAGAAAATAATTAAAACTGAACTGTGAAACTTAATCTATGTTTTACTACTCCTAAGTTGCTGGATTATAACTAAGAAGTAAAAATAATTTCCCTTGGCTTAATATAGGGGAAAAACGTGAACCAGGAAGCTTAACTCTCACTGTTTGTTTGGAGTAAACTTAATTCATTATCAATTAAATCTGACAGAAATAGGTTCACAGATGATATGTAGTATCTAAAGGCTTTCTCTCTTGAAAAGATTTTTACCTCAGCATACCCTAAATAGTGAACCCCTACAGTGAATTCATATTTCTAGGATTAATTAAAGAGTAGGCAAATGCTAAATTATTAGAAGCCAAAATGAATACCAATCAGAAAGGGAAGAAAACTTTTAGATTCTACTTCAAATGCTATACTGTAATATGATAGTGTTATCTAGATAGGTTATCTGCTTATACCCAGATCTAATATATTCTAAGCTCCACTAGTGACAGCGCTTTACAAATTTTAATAGCATTTTCTACTTATGTTAAAACAAGAAAGTTATTGTTTGCACCCTGACACCAAAGTCCCATTCTGGAAAGCATAATTCTCTCAATAGGCAGTTGGATTGCTTTTATGACCCCATCTTCTCCCTGAACATAGACACTGAAGGCAACCAGAAACCAAAAAACAGAAGAAGTCTTTAACCTCAGCACTGGTGACCGGCAACATAAAATTGCAGTTTGAACCACCGGGAATGATGACTCCTTTCACATGAGGTGAACTCAGTGGCCATCACCGTTCAATTGCTCATCATTTCTCTTGCTTAGTAATACAACTCCATTTTTGATGTTACCTTCTTTATCAGGAAGAAGATTATAAAAATAAAAGAGCAAAGAGAGTTCTGGAAATTTCTGGCCTCAATTCCAAGGGTACAGATAGCTATGAGTTACTATAGACTATTAGAATATTTTACATTTTATAACAGGCTAAAATATTTTAAAATTCAATATGAAATTATGCTCTGTTGGATTCTAAAAGGATAGTCTAAAAGGTCACTTCATTTGGCCTATGCTATGTTATTAAAGAAAAACAAACAAACAAACCAGTATTAAACCAGAAATTTAAATTGTTACATACCTGTGGCTGTTTATTTTCACTTCTTTGGAGCCTTTCTTGCTTTTCCTCTGAAGCCACTTTTAGGTTGTGTTCTGCTGACAAATCCATATGTTTAGTTAAAATGAATGATTTAAAGACTATAATCTTTATAAAAATTGATACAGAACAACACACACTTTTATAAATTGAGAGTTTAAATGAAGCTTAATGTTTACTGGAATATTTACATTTTTAAGAAACATTTCTAATTACCTAAAACTTTAACAAACCACTTGGGGAGACGCTAGATATCAGCAGGTTCAAGCCATGCAAAAGTCTCAGGGTCACCCAAAAATTATTCCACCCAATATAAAAAAACAAAACTGCTGGAAACAAAACAAAATTTAAAAATACAGTAAAAACATATAAAGTAACACTTTACTATTCTCTGCTTCATAATAGTATCTTTTTAACAACATGCTAAGCACGTTATTTACTAATAATTTGCAAAATTTTTGTTACTGTTATACCTTTACAGTGTACACCCTGTTTTTTACATCTGAAATATTTTCCTCTACAATTCTGAGGAATTTATTTTTGTGTTTTAAGACTCAGAATGTAGGCTGGGCACGTAGCTCACACCTGTAATCCCAGCACTTTGGAAGGCCCAGGTGGGATAACTGCTTGAAGCCAGGAGTTTAAGATCAGCCCAGAGACCATAGTGAAACCCTGACTCTATAGAAAATTTGCCAGGCATAGTGGTCTGTGCCTATAGTCCCAGGTACTCAAGAGGTTGAGGCAAGAGGATCCCTTAAGCCCAGGAGTTTCAGTTTGCAGTGAGTCTCGGTCATGCCATTGCACTCCACCCTGGGTGTCAGAGTAAAAACTTGTTTCCAAAAACAGAAAAAAAAAAAAAAAAAGGAAAAAAGGCTCAAAATTCTATGTGAAGTCCTCCCTGAATCTGGCTATCTTTTCTCCACGTACACAGGTGTCTCCTTTCTTGGGGCTCCCTTCGTACTTTTTGAATTTTTCTAGTGTCACTTCACCATCTGAGCTGCACATCAGGTCTTTGCATGTCTATCCCCTTTGTTGCTAGACTGTAGCAATCATCTCTGTGTAGACAGTCTTTATTTTACTAAATATTTATTGAGTTCCTGCTAAGTGGTAGGCACAGGTGTTTAAAGAATGAGAATAAAAGCTGTCAGGGATGGCTTTTCTAGAGATCATGCCTGAGCTGAGACTTAGACAGTGAGATTCACCAGATTAAAAGAGGCAGAGGGCAGGAAAGATAGCACATGCCAGGCAGCGGCAAGAGAGGGAGAGAAGCCTCCCAGAGCGTATGTTTTTGTTTACATGAGAAGGATGGTGACAGGGGCATCACCAGCAGCTCAGAAATGCCAGAAAAAGGGGCAGACAGAGAAAGGGCTGCAGATGGAGAATTGGGCAGAAGCCAGTTTCTGAAAGCCTTATATAAACCAACTATTATTGTCATTTCTTAAATTTTTTAAAAAAGCAAAACAAATTAGAAAAGCATAATTCCAAGAAAAAGACCAACATTTTATTTTATTGTATCTTATCTTATTTGACTTGAATTTTCTGAGAGATGGGGTCTCACTCTGCCACCCAGGCTACAGTATAATGTTGCTATCACAGCTAACTGCAGGCTCAAAGTTCTAGGCTGAAGTAATTCTCCTGCTTTGGCCTCCCAGGTAGCTGGAATTACAGGTGCAGAACACCACACCCAGTTACAGTTTTTGAAAAAATAGTCACGGGGTCTGGCGATGTTGCCCAGGCTGCTGGACCTCCAAGCCTCAAGGGATGCTTCTATCTCAGCCTCCAACACTGACTCATTACAGGCAGGAGCCACCGTCCCCAGCAACACCAATATTTTCAAATGAATAAACTGGAGCTCCATCATTTTATTTTATCATGGATGGGTGAAAACCTTGTAATAGACTGATGTACTCCATGGATTTGTGACAAGGAAACTATACCATTAACTACGGCTGAAGCTTCCCTTGTCTCCCAGTCTCTTTACATGGTTAGGAGTAGAGAACTCAAGTGTCTTACCTTTTGCACGTTCTTTTCTTTTTTTCAAATTTGCAGGCTTCATAGCTGCTGTTTCTGTCAAACATGCAAACTTGTTAGATATTCCTTCTGGAAAACATCATCCCTCTGCCTCCTTACCTGGCAAAGTTTCACTTACTCTGCATGCTTACCCTAAATCCTACCCATCTTTTTTAGAAGCTTGCACTCATCACCACAAATTTAAAAGTGAATGGCATCTAATGAACATACCAAATACACAGTAAATAATAACTATAGGCTCCCAGGTGACATCTATCCTCCATCTATCCTCTACAAAATGGGTCAGTACACTGCAGACCACAGGCCAAATCCTGCCTACCATATGTTTTTTCTCAATGCAGTTTTATGAGAGTACAGTCATGCCTATTCACTGACATGCTACCTATGACGGCTTTCACACTACAATGGCAGGGTTGAGTAGCTACGACAGAGACCACATGGCCTTCAGCTGCTTAAATCGTTCTTGAAAAAGAGAGAGAGAGACCACATGGCCTAAAATATTTCCTATTTGGCCCTTTACAGAGAAAGCTTGCCAATCCCAGCTTTATACCCTGAACAGAATGCCCTAAATCTCAAATTGAATCTAATGCCTCCCCTGCTTACAATTTTCCAATGAATTTCTAGAGCAAACACTGTTGGCTCCCTACCCAAGAGCAGTTCCTTGTTGTTTCTTGCTGGAGAATCACAAATCTATGTGGATATTTATTATCCCAATACCCCTCCTCATCTTCAAAACATAAGTGATTATTCTAAGCTAATCATATAACTACATTTGCTTTCCCAGTGCCTGGTTTAGGAATGAGCATGTGGTGTGACCCAGCTAATAAAATATTACAGAAAGGGCTGAGCACGGTGGCTCATCTTTGTAATCCCAGCACTTTGGGAGGCTGAGGCAGGCGGATCACGAGGTCAAGAGACTGAGACCATTCTGGCCAACATGGTGAAACCCTGTCTCTACTAAAAATACAAAAATTACCTGGGCATGGTCGCATGTGCCTGTTGTCCCAGCTCCTCGGGAGGCTGAGGCAGGAGAATTGCTTGAACCTGGGAGGTGAAGGCTGCAGTAATCTGAGATCATGCCACTGGACTCCAGACTGGTGATAGAGCGAGACTACATCCCCGAAGGAAAAAAAAATTTACAAAAAGTCCCCTGCATGCTTCTGAATTTTCTCCCAATTTAAAAGACACATGTGAAGAAAAGCAGCCCTTCCAGCCTTTAGATACTGTCTTGTGAGAACATGGTGTTTGGAGCTGTTGCTAAGTAGCCAACCATGAAGGGAGACATGAACAAGACACTGCCAACAGCATAACTGAAAGAGGAACAAGTGGAATCCAATAATATCACTGGACAACCAAAACAAGTCTGGTTCTTATGGTTTTGGCCACTGTTAGGTCTTCCAGTATTTGCAGCCAAAAGCATTCTACCTCAGAAGTTTCCCCTGGCCTACAGGATAAGATCTACTCATTTCTATACTATTAGAAGTCTTTTATTGAACTTGTATCTAGACACAGGTAAAACAACAACAAAGTCTTTCCCAAGCTTGCCTTCACTGACACGTACTAAGTATAATAAATAATAACTATAAGCTATTTTCACCTCATTACCAAGCACTCCATATATTTTTTTTTTGCACTAGTAAATTTGAACTGCTCATAAACTCTACAAAGTTCACTCAGGTGTCCTACCTTTTGAACTTGCTCCTTGTGTTTTAAAACTTTCATTCTTCATGGCTGCTGCTTCTGTCAAACATGCAAGCTTGTTAGATACTCTTTCTGCCAAGCATCATCCCTCTGCCTCCTTACCTGGCAAAGTTCCACTCACTCTGCACGCTTACCCTAAATCCTACCCACATTTTAGAAGATTGCATTCATCACCACAAACGTAAACGTGCCTGGCACATACTGAACGTGATACATATGTAATAAATAATAACTATAAGCTCCCAGATGACATTGGACACACAGTAAGCACTATTTCAGGTAGTAAATAAAATAAATAACAGTGGTAATAACAATCTCCCAACTGTATTTTTTAAATGTATTTTGTAACATTGGAAAAATGCTTAGTCTGTAACAGATACATGATAGTTATTATTTAAGTGGACAAGTATTTGAATGAATTACAGTATTTTTCTTAAAAACTCTGTTGAAAAAACACAAAAATTAAATAGTTATCTATATTCTATTATGAGCACCTTAAAGACAAAAACTATGTCAATTCCATCTTTGTCTCCTGCAATTTGCCAAACCTAACTTATAGAAGTGGTTTGACAATTATGTACTAAGTTAACGGTGTCTTTATACAGTTCAGATTGTACAATGCATTAGGTGTTACATTTTTGTTATTGTGAACCATTTTTATAATTTTATTATAATTTTTGGAGCCTAGAGTTTGGCTATTGGAACATTTATTATGATTATCTCTTGCCTAATGGTAACAGAGTATGGTTTTTTTTGAGATGGAATCTTGCTCTGTCACCCAGGCTGGAGTGCAGTGGTGCATTCCGGCTCACTGCAATCTCCACCTCCTGGGTTCAAGCAATTCTTCTGCCTCAGCCTCCAGAGTAGTTGGGAATACAGGTGCCCACCCCCATGCCTGGCTAATTTTTGTACTTTTAGTAGAGATAGGGTTTCACCATGTTGGTCAGGCTGGTCTCAAACTCCTGACCTCAAGTGATCTGCCTTCCTTGGTCTCCCATGTGCTGGGATTACACATGAGCCACCACGCCCAGCCTGGTAACAGATTATCTTGTTCCAATAAAATTACTATTATTATAATAATTATCCAGCACATAAAAAAACACAGCTTGTTCTAAGAAGTGAATATATCTCATGAGGTTCCAACTTATGGTGAATAAATTAAAAATAGACCTTGTTTGTATAAGAATATGTAACATAACTTCTGCTTCTTGGAAAGGAATTACTTTTCTGTCTTCTGCATTCAGTAGCTATCTTCAAAAATAATCTCCTATTTGTATGGGTGCACATTAGCTCAGTTTTATGGTTCTTATTGCCATTTGTTTACGGTGTCAGAAAGGGATTGTTGAATTCCTAGTTCTAAAGACAGTTACGTTCTTAGTGACACAGATTCCTGTGTAATGCAGTTGACCCTTGAACAACAAGAGTTTGAACTGCAGGGGTCCACTTATACGCAGATTTTTCTTCTGCTTCTGCAACCCAGAGACAGCAAAACCAACCATTTTCTTCCTCCTCAGCCTAATCAACCTGAAGATGATAAAGATGAAGACTTTTGGGAGGATTTGCTTATGTTTATGAACAGTAAGTATATTTTTTTCTTTTCTATGATTTTCTTTATAACAGCTTCATTTCTCTAGCTTCCTTTATTCTAAAAGCATAGTATATAATAATGCAACACATACAAATACGTGTTCACTGACTGTTCATGTTATCAGTAAAGTTTCCAGTCAATGGTAGGTTATTAGTAGTTACGTTTGGAAGGAGTCAAAGTTATACTCAGATTTTCAACTCCACAGGGATCACAGTCCCTAACCCCCACAATATTCAAGAATCAATTGGAATTAATATTTAGTTACTAAATGTAAACCATTTACTATAAAAATTAAATAGAAGATCCATTTGCATAACAAGTCCAATGCGTAACAATGTAATTATGGAGGAAATTGCAACATATTAACTTAATCTAATTTCTTATTTATATTAATACAAAAATATGTAGAATTTCAAGGATCATAAGTAGGTAAATGAATTTTTTCAGACAATACTGTTTGAGATTGAGAATTAGCTACAAATTCCTAAATAACTCTGAATTCTAAACTAAAGAAATTAAATTTAAAAAATTAATTTATATATAAACATATATATTTTAAACTGCTCTTTTATGATTAAAAATATGTAATCTCACTTTTTGTTTTCTTTGGAGATAGAGTCTTGCTCTTCCATCCAGGCTGGAGTGCAGTGGTGCAATCTCGGCTCACTGCAACCTCCACTTCCCGGGTTCAAGTGATTCTTCTGCCTCAGCCTCCCGAGTAGCTGGGATTACAGGCGCCCGCCATGATGCCCAGCTAATTTTTGTATTTTTAGTAGACATGGGGTTTCACCATGTTAGCCAGGCTGGTCTCAAAATCCTGACCTCAGGTGATCCACCCGCCTCGGCCTCCCAAAGTGCTGGGATTACAGGTGTGAGCCACCATGCCTGGCCTGTAATTTTGCTTTTTAAAATCAGTAAGATCACCAAGGGAAATGAGAAATTTACTATCAGAAGTCTTACCTTGATTGTCATTTCGAAGATGATTTTTAAGCATTTTATTTTTATGTTCCAAAATTTGTTGTCGGATGCTATGCATAATAAACGTAATAAAATTAGTATTTTAATAGTGATATGAAAAATATTTGCCAAACAGATTAAATTCTTAAAGCATTTCAGACAATATCAGAGCTAATATCAGAAATCTAATGTCCGATACACTTTAAAATTTTAAGCTCTATAAACTTATTAAGCTTCTAATTGAACAAGAAAAACAGGAAGTGCTCATAAACTGAGAAAAGCATAGCTCAGTAAATTAATTCTAGTTAGCTTAACAGCCTGGAAACTGTCCTGCATTCACAGTAAGTCCTCGCTCTGTAACCAATAGGTATTTTGTTTTCAGACCAGTTGCTTCTCTTAGCCTCCATGGCTTCTTCTAAAAAATAAAGGTTTTACTACTTGACTTCACTAGGTCATTAGGAAGATGCAATGAGAAAACATGTTTAAATGTTCAGAGAAATAGTAAAGCAATGGAAAAATTTATTCTTGAACTGCATTGCTGAAACCATTTTGGAATCTCAAATAAAACCTGATGAGTGTTTTTCCATAGTTTCTAATATTCGAATGTCACAGTTTTCAGAGAATGTTATTAAGTGCTAATTTTGGTTATTAGTTCTATTTATTGTGGCTTGTAGTTCAGAGCATTTTAGCTAGTTCATAACTTGTAACTAAATTTATATACAAATATATTATTATCTCATTAAAACATATACTCTAATTTTCCCCTATTACTGAACTCATCAATCACACCAAGGGCAGAAAACTAATAGGTGTCAAAACCTGGCTGGGACAACTACCATTCCTTCTCTACCTCCTCAAACTCAGAGCCAGCAGGTCTGTGTTAGAGGCTGCATCTTCTTGGTCCTCTCCAACTGACATACAAGACAAAGCCCTGCTTGTATTGTTTTTCAGTTCCAGATGCAAGTTGATGTTTCCTCATTTCCAAGTCATGTACTAACAACATATTTGCATGTAACATCCCGTGTGCTACTCAGCTCTGTTCTCATTTCACAGATCACCTTACATGAATACTTTTATAATGATTTTCATTATGAGATTATATAATCTATAATTATATAATATATAGATTATATAATCTATAACTATATAATAATAGATTATATAATCTATAACTATATAGCTATATATATTTATAATAATAATATAAATATAAAAATATAAAATATAAACTATAAATAAAAATTTAAAATAACATAAATATAAAAATAATATAATTATATACATTATATAATAATTATATAATATATAGATTATATAATCTATATGTAATATAATCTCACATAAATATAAGAGATTTTCATTATTATGGAAACACATTACTTGAGGGGCCAACTCCAAGTTGGTCCCCATTACTCTATTGAAGGATAATGTACACAGGTCAGAAAAAAGCCTCAAGGTACAGATGTGATAACAAAAGGCAAAGAGACCTCTATTCTCTTCCTGCAACATTATTTGAACATCCCTAGCTGTTGAGTACAATCCCAACTAATATTTGCTAGAGAAAAAATGGACACTGGTCTCAAAGGATAACATACCATGAAGGTACAGGCTAAGCCTAGCCAAAAGGTGGGCTACAAATAAGATTTTTAGTGTTGGGGGAAGGTCAACTTACTCACTATGTGTGTGGGTAGAGCCAGGAGGCCTCGCTGCCAGAGCAGGGTGCTGGGAACAATGGCTGAGCCTATGTACATGAACTAAAAAACACTGTAGCTGTGGGCCGGGCGCGGTGGCTCACGCCTGTAATCACAGCACTTTAGGAGGCCGAGGAGGGTGGATCACAAGGTCAGGAGATCGAGACCATCCTGGCTAACATGGTGAAACCCCGTCACCACTAAAAATACAAAAAAAATTAGCCAGGGATGGTGGCGGGCGCCTGTAGTCCCAGTTACTTGGTAGGCTGAGGCAGGAGAATAGCGTGAACCCAGGAAGGGGAGCTTGCAGTGAGCCAAGATTGCGCCACTGCACTCCAGCCTGGGCGACTGAGCAAGACTCCGTCTCGAAAAAAACAAAACAAAACAAAACAAAACACTGTAGCTGTGGACTCTGTGTATGAGTCACCATGAAGAGTGAGGGATCTGAATCAGTAAGGGCATCCTGGTGGCAAAAGTCAATCATTACCAGATTGCAGGACCAGTTACAATGGCAGCAATACAGCAAGTGAATCAATGGAAACAACAGAATGACTAGAATGGCCTTTTCCCCTCTTCTTCTGACTTGTAAAGCAAGATTGTCTTCCTTGGGCTTAGGGAACCCCTTAGCTTTTTGAAAAATTCAAAGGAGGAAGGCATAGGAGGTAGCCCTAGGGGATAATACAAGATTTTCTGCTAAAGTGGACATTTCAAGACCCAATAACTAATTAGAAAAGTCAGGCCAGGCATGGTGGCTAGCAGTTTGCGAGGCCAAGGCAGGAGAATCACTTGAGCTCAGGAACATGAGCAACATAGTGAGACCTTGTCTCAAAAAAAAAAAAAAAAAGGAAGAAAGAAAGAAAAAGTAAAAGATGGACATTATTTCTATCTCACATATGAGTTATACTTGGAATAAAATGAACAACACTGAGATTCCTAGGGATAAAGGTCTTTAAAAGTCCGGAAAGAATCTTGCACTCATTGCTACTTCTAACTAGTCTAGCTTTCTGTGTGATTTCTGGCTAAAAAGTGGACTAACTTGTTGCCATTCCAAGCTACCTCAACCAAACTATGAACTGTCACCTAATGTATAAGATGCAATAGTTACAATTATTTTAAACCTTAATTTAGTATTAACCGGTCTTTTAATATAAGCACATACCTTCTCAAATCAGAACAAAGAGCATAATCCTCGGCAGTTTGGCCAAACATGTCTTGAGAAGAGATACGTATATTTTGTTGAAGCAGGAGGGTGACGATACTTGACAAGTTATGCTGTACTGCAAGTATGAGGGCTGTTCTAAAATAATAAAGAAATAACAGCACTCAAGAACTTTGATGAAGATATTTAATTAGCAAATTGGATACACTTTACCAATTTCATATCTTGCCTGTCAGGATAGACATAATAACCATTTACATGTACTAGCTTATGTGTATAAGCATCTTGGGTGCTCAAGTGTTCATCTTGTTAAATTACCACCAAGGCTAAAAGGCAGGGACAACAAGCAAACTTCGTGTCCCATTGGGACATGACGTAATACAAATTGCTAATTTATAGTCCTTTGATGGCCAAGAAACTGTGCTGAGGTCACTTATCTAAAGTGGGCAAAGATTTAGGTGAAGATTTTCCCATTGCTTTCCCATTGCTTTGAATTATATTGTAATTCAAAGTCAGCTAGGGATCAAATAAATAAGAGCTATCTGCAGGCTGAAAACAACAGCATCAACAACAACAGCAACAACTATAATAATAATAATAATAATAATGGTAATAGTAGTAGTTGTAAACTGAAAGTTAAAGTCTACACTTCATAAAATTAATAAAATACAAACCCCCTTTAGCTAATATAAGATTACAGGACCAAAAACACCAAATTACAAATAACAGTCTATAAGAGAAGATGAATCCTACTATATACTGTTTTTTGTGTTGCTTAGTCCAAATAACTTCTTTTCTACCTGATTATTCATGTTACTTTTTACTATATGCCAATAATTATAAGTTTAATCTTATTAACATTTCTGACTTGAGTGACTGTTACCGCTCTAGAACACTCAGGTTTTTAGGAAAAAAGAAAACAAAAAACAAAAACTATTGCACCTTTTGAAATTGTCAACGGCATGTATATTTGCCTGGTTCTTCAATAAAAATTCCACCATATGCTGTCTCCTGGAATTTATAGCAAACAAAAGTGGAGTGTTTCCCTCCTGTAAGAAAGCAAAAACAATTTATAATTCACAAAATTACATATTTCTCCACTGAACTAAAAATCTTCTATAAGATGCTATGAACTTAAACATGCAATATAGAGAGAAAGTAAATGCAAAGCAGTCCCGTCCCTTTCACTCCTCTGTGCTTTCCCACACACTGCCTTGAAACACCCCTCCTCTGCCTCCCCACATTAACTTCAGTCATCTCCAAAACTCACTTTATTTACCAGTCCCCAAAATCCTTGCTTCTATCTCAGCATTTAGCACAGTCCATTGTAATTATTTCATTGTTTCCCACTGAAACCAAGAGATTCTCAAGGGCAAGGGCTGTATCTTTTTTCTCTATAACCCTAAAACCTAAGACATAGTAGCGAATGCTTTAAGTTTTTAAAATAAATTAATGATCTAAATTATTACCTCTAGAGAAGTGTTTCTTAAACTATATTTCAAAGAGTAGTTGTTTTACCGAAAGAACTGTACCCCAACAAAAAGATTCCATGATCATCTGCATTTGAGAAGTATTAAAAACTATATTACATGGCCAACAATCTAGAAATCCCTTGAACTTTGCCTAATCTCAATTTGACAATGCTTTTTGTGGCAAACATTAACATTTTAGGAACTAGAGTTTCAGGGATACAGTTGCCAGAGCTTCCCAATACAAGTGGAGGTTTCCTCTGGGTGGCACAAACTTGCTTGATTTATGTCTATCAATGGTCTCAGGATGCCAATGTCAGGCACTCCTGATCCAAAGGGGCCACTAAGGAAATGAGCTCTGAATTAAGAGAGATTGGCTTCAAATGCACTTATTTTCCTTATTATTAAATACTCCATGGGATTTCTCCTAATGCAAGAGGATAGATTTTTATCTTAACTATTAGAAAGCTCAGTATGTTCTGTGTAAGAGAGACCAGTTAAAACTTTTTGAAAATAAATATTAAAAAGCAAAGCTCAGTAAGAAATTCTATTCTCAATTATAATGATAATCCTGGGACGTTAATGCAACTTTACTTTTTAAATCCATTTGTATTGATTTCCATTTAAATTGCTATTTAACATTATTTTTTTTACTTTAGGCAAAATATAAATCAGAAATAAAAATACAATGGCTTATCAAAAAAAGTGCTAATACTGATGTATAGGGCTTGTTTCTAGCATAATAAGAGCCAATAAGTCACTTGCATTTTTTTCTTTTTCTTTTTTTTTTTTTGGAAATGGGGTCTCACACTGTCACCCAGGCTGCAGTGCAGTGGCATGATCTCCGCTCACTGCAAGCTCCACCTCCCGAGTTCATGCCATTCTCCTGCCTCAGCCTCCCAAGTAGCTGGAACTACAGGCACCTGCCACCACACCTGGCTAACTTTTTGTATTTTTAGTAGAGTTAGGGTTTCACCGTGTTAGCCAGGATGGTCTCCATCTCCTGACCTCGTGATCTGCCCGCCTCAGCCTCCCAAAGTGCTGGGATTACAGGTGTGAGCCATTGCACCCGGCCGTCACTTGCATTTTTAAGGGACATTGCTGAGAAGAAAGATATAATGTCTGCAATATTCATAATCTATCCACTTCTCAGCAGGAATAACCTAAAAGGGCTTCTAGGCATTCTTATGAGCAGATGACTATTTGTGGTATAGATATAAAAAAAGAGTTAAAAAAACTTCTGAATTCTAAAATTCAACTCTATAATTGAGGGATTTATATAAACTATAGACTATATATTATGAACCAATATATGCTGTCTTGAAAACCTTGAAATCTTTATGAAAATATATTATAAAAAAGGAGTTAAAGCTCAAATACTTATAAGGATGAAGGAGGTTACCTAAGTAAGTGAAGTACTCAGGTGGGCACAGTAGCAAACTGGAGAATATGTGCCTCCTACCCAGGGCAACCTCTGCGCAGCAGACCAAGCAGTGATGTGGTTCTGGGGACACCAGATTTGTTTCTTAAGCCTGAGGTCCAGACTTCTGCATGAGTCCACTAAAGTTTACATGTTGACTCAATTCAAAGAGGCAAAGAACAAATCTATACGCCACATTTAGACTATAGCTCTTGTGTTTTTATATTTGCTGTGAATGTGTTGCTAAATGATTGTGTATAAACCAAGTATTTGCATGTGGAACTTTTTCTCTGTCTAGTATCGTATGTTTAATAAAAAAACTCAGGCCCTGATATATACATAATAAAAATTGCTGTTAACACTCATAATACCCACCTCAAGAATTTTCCCAACATTTATTCATTTGCAATCTATGTGCATATAATTTTCCCAGATTGTTCACCAAATGGACAATTAGTTCATAGGAATGCTGAAACTAAATTATTAAAAGAATTCCTATTGTATTCTCACTGACTTCAAGGATTTCAGTGTTTAAAACTGACATCCTGATAATGCCAAAGCTCTATAAACTTAATAGGCATACTGAGATAGTCCCTAATACAACTGCAACTGAAACAAAAAGGTTCAAGATTTGCTACCGATCTAATTGAGAAAATCTCACTTGTAATGAACATTTGCTGACACATAATCACTTGAATGGTGACAAAGGAACATGAAATTGTGAAAGGGTCAGTCTCTACTTATTGAAAGATTACCCACAAGTAAATTGCTAAAGACTGTCTGAATGGCAGTGAGTGATTCATGGTGGGAAGCAAAAAGTGTTATTCTGTAAGCTGAGCGATATTGCCAATGATATTCCCTTTCACTTCCCAGTCACAAATGTAGAGAAAGACAGATAAGTCAGTTTAATGTTATTGGAAAAGAAAACTTTGAAGAAAGTAGCACCTATCGAATGCCAACTCTTTTAGAGATTTCTTATGTCTTTGACATACAGGAATTTATATCCTGCACTTATCTATTCTGTGCTTCTTAATCAGGAGTGTATTCGAACACTGAGGTTTTTTTTTTTTTTTTTTTTTTTTGCTCTTGTTGTGGTAAGAGACAAGAGTCTTACTATGTATTTTTAGTAGAGACGGGGTTTCACCATGTTAGCCAGGATGGTCTCCATCTCCTGACCTCGTGATCTGCCCGCCTCAGGCTGGACTTAAACTCCTAGGCTCAAGCAATCCTCCCACCTCAGCCTCCTGAGTAGCTGGGACTACAGGAACATGCCACAGTGCATGGCTTCAAGAAAATATTTTTAACCATACATGTTCAGAACTTATTAGATCTATTACATCAAAATCCTCAGGGGAAAGCCTACACTTGTAGACTTTTAACAAAATTTCCCCAGGTCATTGTAATGCACAATTCTAGCTGAGAATTACTGCAGCAGACAATCACTTCAGTTTCATCTCTCACCCACATGGCCAATATCCTTTATCAGCTTGGGATGTGGCCAGAGAGGAGTATGAGATAGAGTTATGTATTAAAATTCCAGTTAATTTTCCTGGGTGTGGGTATATCAGGGACAAGTAAACTCAAAATCCCAGTTGATTTTGCTATTTATAAGCTGCTTATCTCCCACCTTCTCATCAAGATATTCTAGATTTGAAAGGAGAGTTTAGACTCTTATCTAAGTTGCTGTTTTTGCCGGGATGGGTAATAAGTCAGTTACTAATTTGTTCCACCCTTTGCTGAAGTGTTTCTCACTTCATCACCGTATATTCACTGCCAATCTGGTTTCCTCAGAGTCCTCTAAAAATTAATCTTTAGGCAAGTTTCGGTCACTCTTTTTACCAAACCAAAAATGATTACCCCAAAGCTGAAGAGCGCTTTGTCTCAATACATAAACTGGAAAAACAACAAACTAAAAAACAAAACCTCTTCTTGGCATTTTCCCTCATTACCTAATTTCCAAGTGACCTGCATGTTTTTGATTGCTCTCCTTTTCCCTTTCTATTTTTCCCTGTTAAACCTTGCCCATGAAAGATACATCCATTTTGTTAGAAAACCGTCAGCAGCAGCAAGACTTCCATTTATTGTAAGTTGCTTTAGTTTTGAGTTTTAAGATAAAGCCTATTTCCAGGGTAATTTTTTCCCTGTGCTGTTTTTACACTAATTAGAAAAAAAATACACCTGGGGTAGGAAACAAATACTTGAAAAGAAGAAGTTTTACCTTAACAAATTCACAAATACTTCCCATACGTGCACTAAAATAGCTGTGCCCTCTAATGCTTCTTTAAAAGTATCAATATTTAAAGTAAAATTTTAGACAATTATTTCAAGACATTTTCATTCAGGAATACTTGAGTTCCAAATATGAAAAATTGACTCTTAACTATGTCAATATTAAAACAAACATTTTGAAAAGAAAGTTGATTGATCTGTACCTTGTTTAGTGCTTCAATATTTGCATGGTGGGAAAGCAGTCTTTCTGCCAGTGAAGTCCCCTTATTATACACGGCATAATGGAGAGCAGTGTTGCCGTAGATATCCTCAATGTTTGGATTGGCGCCACATTCCAGGAGAACGATGGCACAAGCCTCTTCCTGGCTGTGTACAGCCTATTAGTGTTAGATAAAAAACTAGACTATAAATTCTAAGAATTCAAAATACATATTCCACAGGTTTCACCAACTAGCTATATTTAAATGAGACAAATTCATTTTAATTCTATGTATTTAAATCAAATCCATTTCATGCTGAAAGAGTTGGCTACTATATACCTTCATTAAAGGTGTCCTGTTTAGTCTGTCACAGATGTCGATCTGGCATCTTCTGTGCAGCAAGAGAGTGACCACTTGCACACGGCCATGGGCACAGGCCAAATGTAGAACAGTCCTAGGAGAGCGAGAGGGGTTTTCAGGAAATGTAGTGCAATATCTCAAAACCTACAATGGTCCATGTCATTGTAAACATTGAATGGCATTATTCCTCTGCCTTCAAAACAAATAATTTTCTTTTGAAGAAAGTACAATATTTATTAGCTCTTACTGCTCCCTACCTTAATGAAACAGCAGCCTATTTGGATAGAATGAGCTTGGTGTTTGGATTCAGCTTAACTAGGGCTTGAGTTCTACTTTGAACTCGGTCACGTACCAGCTATTGCTTAGCCTTTCTGTGCCTGAATTTCCTCATTAATAAAGATGACCACAGCAGCTAGCTCACAGGACACCACTGTGATGCTTAAATGAAAATCTATGTAAAGCATTTAGAACTGTTTCCAGAACAAGCAACAACTCAATAACTGTTAGACTTTTGTTTGTTGAGACACGGTCTTGCTCTGTTGCCCAGGCTGGAGTGCAATGGTGTATTTATACCTCACTGCAGCCTGGCACTTGTAGGCTCAAGCAAACCTCCTGCCCCAGCCTCCTGAATAGCTGGGACCACAGGAGTGCACCAGCATGATCAGCTAATTTTTAAATTTTTTTTTGTAGAGTAGGAATGTCACCTTGTTGCCCAGGCTGGTCTCAAACTCCTAGCATCATGGGAACTTCCCACCTCAGCCTTCCAAAGTTCTGGAATGACAGGTGTGAGCCATGCACTCAGCCAGATGTTATAATTATATTACTAGTATTTAACAAAAATATTTTAATTAAGTAAAATGATACAATTATTGCTATTTTGCAGGATGATTTAAAGATTAGGTCACATTTTAGCATATCTGATATTGGAGTGGTATTTATAATTCATAATTTTTATATGGTAGCATTTATAATTGGTAGCATTTAAAAATCATCTTATTAATATAGAAAATAGTAGGGTATCACACAATCCATGAGGTCTTACATTAAGTAGAATACTGTATACACAGCAGGTCTAGGGCAATTCTAGGAATCTAATTGACACTTAAATACATTTTAATTCCTCAAAGTACCATGGGGAAAGAGCACTGAAATAACAACATATTTTTTAAACAAATTACTTCTTACTTTGATTTTTAAAAATGGGAAGCTGGCCGGGCCCAGTGGCTCACGCCTGTGATCCCAGCACTTTGGGAGGCCGAGGCAGGTGGATCTCTAGGTCAGGAGTTCAGGACCAGCCTGGCCAACATAGTGAAACTCTGTCTCTACTAAAACTACAAAAATTAGCTGGGTGCGGTGGCAGGCACCTGTAATCCCAGCTACTCGGGAGGCTGAGGCAGGATAATCACTTGAACCTTGGCAGCAGAGGTTGCAGTGAGCTGAGATCACGCCACTGCACTCCAGCATAGGCGACAGAGTGAGACTCTGTCGCAAAACGAAAAAACAAACAAACAAACAAAAAGAAACGTGAAGCTAAAGGAAACTCATGATTGAGATGAACAGGTATGGCTCATTTTAGTCAACACTTAGATTTACAGAATATATGCAAATCAGACTTTCCAATGATTAATATTAGTATTTAAGACTGATAAATTTTCAAAAGGGCAGTTAAAGGTTATCTCTTATTGTTTTCTACCTTCAGAAAGGCTTTTGCTTGAAAGGTGGGAGGAAAAGCTTCAGTGAGATTAAGTTCTACTATTCCTATTTTAAATCTCTCATCTTGCTCAGGCAGAACAGGTAAACATAAAGTTTTTAAGTATGGAAGGGTCCTGAGAGATAGTGCAAAATGTTTGCTACATAACATATTCGAGTTATGTTTGATGAATAAATGGATTGATAGAATACAGTTGGGGAGCTCAATATTTTTAAATACAACTTCTATAAACCAATATTTTTGTGATAGTAATAATATTTGCTATTTGTTATTTTGATAAGACTACAACTATAATGAAATGATTAATCTATCATTGTTTGCCTATATGTAATGAATCTATACATAAGAAAAACATATATACATAATAAAGTATATACATAAAATCTGCAAGCACAGATAAAAAGATTCCCTTTTTACTTCTGAAGAAGCTAAAAGTTCAAACCCTCACAATAATAATGATAAAAAATAGTGAGAAATTATTTTTATCTGTTCAAGAGTCATATTTCTCTTCCCAAAATTTATTCCATTAATAATAAATTTTTACTAGAAATTTTATAAATGCTCACTTCAGAAATCAAAGGTAAGAAAAAGGAACAAAAAACTTTAAAATACAAATGCTCAGAAGTTACAAATTTTATCCTATTTTGTGCATAGTATTGCCTAACACCAGACCATAGTATGTTTGTGTGTATGTGCAAGCAAACTGATTTGTTTTTCCTCACTGGCTGTAACAAAATGCATCTTCACATATCAACATACTTCTCCACCTATTGCCACCTTCAATGGCCACATACCATTCTATGGGTTCTTGTTAACATAAATGCTGGGGAAAAAAAGTGCATGTATCTCTATTTTCTGAAGGTATTTTAATACAATGGAATTGATGGGTAAAGGGCATATACATTTTTAAAATGTGGTAATTATCTCCAAATTATCCACTTGAAAAGTCATCAGCAACTTAAACTTCAAGCAGCAGTGTAAGTGCCACTGCTCTTCATTCTCACAAACACTGTGGATAGAACACAGTCTCACTCCTCTTTTAACTTATCTTATGAGAAACACTAAGGATTTTTTCCTATGTACATAAGTAACTTGTGAATCTGCAAAAAGTGCTTTGCTCACTTCTAGAGTTCTTTTCTTGTGGATTTGATTGGAAAGAATTCCCTGTAAAATAAAGATGTGCTTTTTATCTGTATATATATAACTGATATATATATATAACACATTATATTAGTAATATATACAATTTCTTATACATATAATCAGTAATATGTATTATATATAATAAAGAATAAATTCCCTGTAGGATGAAGATACACTTTTCATCTGAATATATATTTTTATATATTAGTAAAAATATATATAGGAAATATTTTTCGAGTGTGTTATCTTTTGTTAATTTTTTTCTGATACACAGGGGATTTTAATTTTTAGTTTGCTAAATCAACTTTCAGAATGCCTGCTTGCGAGGTCATTCTTACGAAGGCCTTTGTTAACATAAAATGTACCTGTATAAATAAGTCTTTGCGTTTTCTTCTGGTACTTTTTCTCATTTTGCATGTGTAAAAATTTCAGTCTGAATTCCATCAGGAACCCATTTTTGCGACATAAAGTTTCATTAGTTTTCTTCACACAGCAGGCATTTTATTAATAACTCATCTTTTCCTACTCATCTGAAACGTTACCATTATCCATCCCTATGTATATATCTTACATATATTTCAGTGTTTTTGGATTTCCTGTTCTGTTCCATTTATTTATCTGTGTTTTCAGCTGTTAGTAAATAATTAATTGTGGGAATTAATAGCACATTTTGATATCTAGAGGAGCAAGTCTTTTCACTCCATTATAAACATTTTTAAATGTCATCACAATGGTAAGATAGATAGCAAGTGTCATGCAAAAATGATAAAACCTTGATATCTTCATTCAGTTTATGTAAAACTGATAAACATGGAAACAGTTCATATTTTGAGAAAACTGAGTCTTCCCATTCAAGGAACCCACCTCGCGCTTCCCAGTGTCCCTCTAAGAAGCTCCAGTAAAGAACCTGTCTACCTAGGTGGATTCGGATGTAAAACCGACACAGGGTTTTATCTGAGAACTCTTCGCCTACTGAAAAAGGCTCATGGTATTTTTGACAGGGGAATGAGTTCTCATTAGGCACCTCCCTATCATGTATATGGCCCCATGTTTTAAACGTGGATATGCCTAACTTTGTGAGTTAAATCACTCAAATTTTCCACCAAGCGCGACGGACGGGGAATTGCCAGCGACGGAAAGCAGCTGAGGCTCCATTTGGCTCCGCTGCTCCGAGGGTGCCCGGCGCCCTCCAAGGTCCCCGCCCCAGGGGCTGCCGGGCTGCAGGGAAGCCGGGCCTGCGGCCCCCTCCCACCGCGGGCTGAGTCCCCGAGCTACCTGTCTTTTCTGTCGCGGGCGTCCAAGTCCCGGAACCTGCGCGTCAGGCAGCGCTCCACCTCCGCGGCGTCGCCCTTGATGGCAGCCCTGTGGATCTTCCGCAGTTCCCAGTCCCGAATGTCGTAACCCGGACCCGCATACTCTTGGTCCATGGAGCTCAGGAGCGCCTGGCCCAGGCGTCTCCCGAAGCTGAAGAGCTTCCTCATGGTGGCGACTTCTCAGACGCCCACCACCCGCTCCTGAGCCGCGGCGGCTCCTCGTGGCCTTTCCACCCCCACTCCGCCCCAAATCCGCGATCTCCCCCGCAACCCGCGATCCCCCCCGCAACCCGCGATCCACCCCCAAATCCAAGATCCACCCCCAAACCCGCAATGTAGCTCAGAATCCGCGATCCAGCCCGGTCCACCACAGCCTTCAGCAGCGACACTCGCAGACTCCGACCTCTCAGACCGAGTGAGCCCAGCTAAGCCGTTAGGCGCGCGCCTGAACCTCAGCGCTCCGAACTCTCAGACCGAGTGAGTCCCCGCGATGCCAGTTAGGCGCGCGCCTACAACTCAGCGCCAGCCGGGACTCCGGAAGCCGCTCCCAAGCCCTCGTGGCCGGCAGGGGGCACCTGCAGCACGGGCGCACGCGTCGCTGGCTTGCGGGTTCTCCTGGGCTCCCGCGGGACGTCCCGGAATCCCAGGAGTGCATCCCTTCCCGCCTGAGGGCCTGCCTGGCCCTGACTCCCGACCCGCTCCTCCTCCGAAGAGAGATCGGGGCCGCTGACAGGGGCCCTCCGCAGCCACCGGGGATGGGACTGGGGGGTCGGTTCCTGTCCCGGTGCAGCCGCCGCCGGGTAGACCGCCTGGCTTGGCCGCAGCCAGGGCGACATGTAGCCCCGGTTCTGCCAGGCTGGGAGCGCCAGCCATCTTGGGAGTTGCCAGGCAGCTGTCGCCAGCAGGTAGAGGGCGCCTGCAGCTTGGGCGCCCAGGTGGTGGAGCACGGCCTAGGCGGCCTCTGGATCGCGAGTGCACCTGGCCTGAGAGCCCGCCAGGCCCTGCCCCTGCTCGGCTCCTCGTCTGCTGAAGCTCGGGACCTCTAGCCAGTGGCCCTCTGCAGCCACGGGGAATGGGGCTGAGAGCCGGTTCCCGCTGCAGGGCAGACCACCTAGCTCAGCCGCAGCCACAGGGACATCTGGCCCCGGTTCTGAGATGTGGGGAGTGCTGGCGGGCTCGGGGGTTGCCTGGAGGCTGCTGCCTGCACACAGAAGGCGGATGCAGCTTGGGTGCCCAGGCGGGCTGGAGGTGCATGGCCTGGTCGGCCTCGGGATCGCCAGCGCGCCCAGCCTGAGGGCCCCCAGGCCGTGCCTCCCGCCCATTCCTCCACCGGAGGGGGATCGGGGTCGCTGGCATGGGCACTTGGCAGTCACTCCGGATGGGGTTGAGCAGGGGTTCTCAGTTTTCGCCCCTGTGCAGCCGCCGCCGGGCAGAATGCCTGGCTTGGCCGCAGCCACTGCTACACCTAGCGGGTCGGGCGGGCCGGGGGGTGAAAGCGCTGGGAGGCGGGTGCCTTCTCGCCCTGTGGCGCCTCTGGGCCCCACGGCTTGTCGGCCTCCGGCGCGCAGGGCTCCCCAGCATCCTGGGCGCCGGCCCGCTGCCTGCACAAAGTCAACTCAGACAGGATGAACTTCGGTTGCCTTGTCTGGCTGGGCTGCCAGGCGGGGCAGCTGACCTGCTGATGGGGTGACTTTCTTCATCTTCTTGCCCACAGGACAGCGGGCTGGGAAGCCAGGGGCCGCCGGGACCTGGGGCTGGAAACCACATCTGCCCACAGCCGCAGCCTCCTGCACCTGTCATCCTGGCGGCGCCCTGACGTCGGAGAAGCAGCAGGCGCGGAGCTCCTGCAGCGGGCACCGCTGCAGCAACCCGACCCGGCGCAGGCGGCAGTGGAAGGCGGCCTGCTAGCACGGCTCCCGCGGCCCCAGGACCAGGGGTGCGGCCAGCACCGCCCTCACTCCCCGCGTCTCGTGGATATTGCCCTCCCTGGAGGCGGCTGGACCTAAGCGAGGCTCGCAGCGATCGGCCCCGCGAAGACTCGCATGCAGGGCTCAGGATCCCGCATTCTGGCGCCGCGGCACCGCACCTTTCAGCAGCCCTGCTCCTCTTCTTGTTGGTAAACTTTTGTCACTCTGCCATGAAAAGCATCCAGGCGTCCTTGATTTCGACATTGCGTGCACGCTCAGCCGAGCTCATCAGACGGGCGGTTGTCCCCAGAGCCCGCGGGTAGCTTGTTCCCGGGCGGCGGCTCCTGCTGGATGCAGCTCCTTGTGGGCCTACCAGGCTTGGTGGAGCCACAGCAGACCTGTGGAGAGGAAGAGTAAGGCGGGCTCTGCAGGGCAGTGGGCCGGGACCATGAGAGAGGCGGGTCAGTCTGGGCTCCAAGCTCAGCCTCTCGGATTCCCCGGGACCCACGGCTTATAATGCGCTTAAATCCCACGCCTCGCCCGAGAGACAGCACGTCACCGTCACCGTCACCGCCTAGCGCCCCTGACCCGCTCCCACTCCGCTGCAGCGGAGGGTGTGTGAGGGAGAGGGACGCAGGGAGGGAAAAGCGTTGGGAGGGCAAACATCTTTTCATAAGCTTTTCCCCTTCTATATGCCATCTCTGATGGGAGCCTCTTTAGATCTTTCGTCCATTTACTAATTGGGTTGTTCGATTTCTTATTGTTGAGTTGTAAGTGGTTTTTAATGGTCTGGATGCCAGACAGGTGTTTTGCAAATATTTTCTCCGTCTGTGGCTTGTTTCTCCATTCTCTTATTTCCTTTCCCAGAGCAAAAGTTTTTAATTGTAACGACTTCATACCAATATCTTCTTTCATGGTAGAAATTTGTCTTTTATGTACTTTACTGTTGTATCTACAAAGTAATTGCCAAACCCAAAGTTACCTAAATATCCCTTTTGTTATTTTACAGAAGTTTTACAGCTTTTGGATTTAAATTTAGGTCTAAAAATTGAATTCATAAAAGTAGAGAGTATAATGATGCTTACCAGAGGCTGTGTTGCTGGGGAGAAAAATGGGAAGTTGTTCACAGATGCAAAGATTCAGTTAAACCGGAGAAATGCGTTTTGAAATCTATTGCACAGCAGGATGACTATAGTCAATAATAATGTACTGTATATTTAAATAACAAAAAGTAAATTTCAAATATCTAACCACAAAAAATAAAATTGAGGTGATGGGTATTTTTTATTTTATTTATTTATTTGTTTATTTATTTATTTTTTTGAGACAGAGTCTCGCTCTTTCGCCCAGGCCGGACTGCAGTGGCAGGGTCTCGGCTCACTGCAAGCTCCGCCTCCTGGGTTCACGCCATGAGGTGATGGATATTTTATCCTCGATGTAGTCATTCCTCATTTTATACACATATCCAAGCATCACATTGTACCCCATAAATGTATGCAATTGTGGTTTGACAATTTAAAATATTATTAACTTAAAAATGTGTCGTTCGAGTTAATTTTTGAGGAGCAAGGTCTGTGTCTCAATTCTTTTTTTTTTTGCATATATGTATATATACATACACGCAATGTATTCATCACTGTTTTTGAAAAAGCTACCCTTTCTCCCTTGAATTGCCTTTACCTTTTTGTAAAAGATCAATTGACTGTGTTTGTGCACTCTTATTTCTGAGTTCTCTATTCTGTTCCGTTGATCACTTTGCAAGTCCTTGAACTTTGTTCCTCCCCCACAATATTGTTGGCTATTCTTGTTAGTTTGTCTTTCTATATAAACTTTAGAATTAGTTTGTCAATTTCCACACAATAATTTATTCATGTTTTCACGAGAGTTGTAATGAATTTGTAAATCACACTGAAGAGAACTGACATCTTAACAACACTGGGTCTTATTTTGTGAATACAGATGTCCCTTCATTTATTTAGATCTTTAATCCCTTTCAACAGATTTTATAGTTTTTCTCACATAGACCCTGCCCATATTTTGCTAGATTGTGTCTATTTCATTTTCTTGATGCTAATGAAAATGGTATTGGGCTTTTAATTTCAAATTCTCGTTGTTCATTGCTGGATGTAGGACAGCAATTGATTTTGTATATTAACCTTATACCGTGCAACCTTGCTATAATCCAGAAGGGTTTTTGGCTGATGCTTTGAGATTCTCTACATAGAAAATCAAGTTATCAGCAAGCAAAGGGCATTTTAATGCTCCCTTTCCAATCTGTATACCTTTTATTTTATTTTCTTGTCTTATTGCATTAGCTAGGATTTTAGTATGATGTTGAATAGGAGCAGTGAGAGGGGATAACATTTCCTTGCTTCTTTTGTGTAAAACATCCCATTTTTCACATTATGTATGATATTGTCTGTAGGATGTTCTTTTGGTATATGTTCTTTATCAGTTGAGGAATTTCCCTTCTATTTCTAATTTGCTGAGAGTTTTAACCATGAATGGGCTTTGGATTCCGTAAAATGCTTTCTTGATCTATTAATATAATCAAATAACTTTTCTTCTTTAGCTAGTTATCTGAGGGATTGCCTTAACTATTTTGTGTTAAGCCAGGCTTGCATACCTGGAATAAATCTCACTTGGTCTTGGTGTGTAATTCAACAATGTATTGCTAGATTCAGCATGCTAATATTTTGTTGAGAATTTTTGATGAGAGACATTTGTCTGAACATTTTTCTTTAAATGTCTTTTTCTGCTTTTGGTATTAGAACTTCATAAAATGAGTTGGGATATGTTCCTTTTGCTTCTGTTTTCTGGTAGCAATTGTAAATAATTGGTATCTTTTCCTCCTTAAATGTTTCATACAATTCGCTAGTGAAACAATCTAGGCCTGTTGCTTTCTTTCTTGGAAGGTTGTTAATTATTCATATATTTCTATACTAGATAAAGAGTTATTTGAATTATCTATTTCTCCTTTTGTAAGTTCTATGGACTACATTTTTGTGTCTCCCCAAAATTCAAGTGCCAAAATCAATCCTCAATGTGATGGTATTTGAGGTCCTTTGAGAAGTGATTAGGTCATGAGGATGGAGCCCTCATAGGTGGGATTAGTGGTTTTTTCTAGAAAGGTTCCTCACCCCTTCTGTTATGTGAGAACATATTGAAAAGATGGCTTCCATGAGCCAGAAATTGAGTCCTCAGCAGACATGAAATCTGCTGATGCCTAGAATTGATGTTGGATTCCCTAGCTTCCGGAACTATGAGAAATAAGTTTCTGTGTTTATAAGCCACCCAGTTTATGGCATTTTGGTATAGCATCCTGAACAAACTAAAGGAGTTTTGGTAGTTTGTGACTTTCAAGATATGGATCCATTTTGTCCAAGTAATCAAATTTGAGAGCACATAGTGTTTATACTATTCATTTATTATCCTTTTAACGCCCATGGCATCAATACTGATAACCTTTCATTTCTGATACTAGTAATTTTTGTCTTCTGTTTCTGTTTCTCATTTGTCTCCTCTCCTCCATTTCCCATCCTCTTTCTGCCTCTTCTTCATCCCCTTCTCCTCCTCCTCCTTTTCCTCCTTCTCCTCCTCCTCCTCCTTCATTATCTTCTTCTTATCCATTAGATTATATAAAAGTAAGCAAAATAGAGATTTTATTTTACCTTCATGTATTCCTTCTCTAAGCTCTCCCTTCTTTATGTAGATCCAAATTTCTTATAATTTTTCTTCTTCCTGAAACTCTTCTTTGAAATTTTTTACGAAGTAGGTCTGCTCGTGACACATTTCTTCAGTTTCTGTTTGTATGAGAAAGTATTTTTTCTCCTTCACTTTTGAAGGATAGTTTTACTAGATACAAAAATATCAGTTGATTATATTGTTCTTTCAACATTCTAAATATTTCAACTTACTCTCTTTTGATTGGATGGTTTCTGACAAGAAGTCCTATGTAAATCCTATTCTTGCTTCTTTATAAATCAAGTCTTTTATTCCATTCACTTTCAACAATTTGTCTGTCTTTGATTTTCTGAAGTTGAAATATAATTTGCATATGAGTATATATTTTTGGTATTTTTCTGAACTTCCTGTATTTGTGGTTTCAACACGTAATGTTGTAAAATTCTCAGTCAGTATTACTTCAAATACTTATCTGCATTTTTTCCTCTTTCTTCTCTTTCTAGCAATCCCATTGTGCATGTGCTACATGCTACAACAATTATTGAATATTCTGTTCTTTTTTCCCATTGTTTTCTCTTTGCATGTCAGTTTGGGAAGTCTCTATTGACATACCTTCAAGATGACTGATGTTGTTCTTGACCGTGTTCAGTTCACTGATAAACCTATTGAGGACATTCTTCATTTCTGTTGCAGTATTTTGTTTTCTAGCATTTTCTTTCTTTTTTTTTTTTTTTTTTAAGAAAAAGGGCTTAATTTATGTCACTGAGGCTGGAGTGCAGTGGTATGAACATAGCTCACTGTAGCTTCAACATCCTACGATTTAGGAATTCTCCCACCTCAACCTCTGGGACCACGGGCATGTGCCACTATGCCTGGCTGGTTATTTGGTTTTTTTTTTGTTTTTTTGTTTTTTTGTTTTTTTAAGAGAAGGGTCTTACTTTGTTGCCTATGCTGGTCTTAAACTCCTGGACTCAAGTGAGCTTCCTGCCTCAGCCTGAGATTATAGATGCGAGCTGGGATTATAGATGTGAGCCACTGCATCCAGCCAAAATTGATACATTTAAAATATACTGTTTTTAATATAAATGGAAGATGGAGAATCACTATGAGTATTTCATTAATATTTTGTGGGAAGCCTAATAAAAATGAAATTTTCTGTGAGTGTACCTCACCCTTCCAAATGTTGAGCCACTTCTCCAAGGGACAGTTCTTCGGCTGATTTTTGGTGTTTTATCTTCCGCCAGTAGTGAAATGAATGACATGACTTATGGCCCAAGGCTTTACTCAGAAGCTTGGTGCCTGTTACCAGCGCTGCTGGGAGCTCCTGAGGTAGACACAAAGGCCAGGTGTCAGGGAGACTACCCAAGAGCAAAGAGCCGGAGAGGGGAGGCATGTGCTGTTGGACAAAATTGCCATCACTAGGCGGGTACTGTGAATCCAACATAGATCTGAGTCAGGTTCCATATGCAGGGTTCGGGGTGAGTGCCTGGGATCACTCTGTGGCTGGAATTCTCCAGAAACCTGGTTTATACAGTGTAATTGAAACTTGAAGCAGCATCTGATGCACCTTAGATGATTAGAACTGATTAGAGGTTCTAGGCTGATTAGAACTAGGTGATTGGAACACGGTCTGGCTAGGAAGGAAGGGACCATGCGCATCAGGGCGGAGACTGCAGGTGGGCAGATGGCCATCACAGCCCAGCGGGCTGCCCTTTACTCTCCTCCAGGCCCAGGAGACTAAACACACTTGAGTCGCAACTGCCTCTGGGCGTGGGAACTGTGGTCTTGTTTCCAGTCACCTGTCCCAGCAAGAAGGAGCTTCCGTTGTGCTTGCAGACTTGACCTTACTAGTCTGGGCTGGGGAGTTCTGTGTCTGCCCATGGCTGGTCATTATTGTCTACAAAACCTGCTGTGTGATCTGTAAGAATTTTTGTGACTAGCTAGCTCAAGGGCATGATGACATGCCTATGCTATTGCTGAGGGAATATCTCTATTTTCAGGTGAAGATTGTTTCTAATTTTATGTTCAGAATTACATACAAGAGGCACAGTGGAGGTATATAAATGAAGATCCACCAGCATTCTTTCAAAATACTGAACCACATTTTCTGATAGACATTGGGGTGGGGTGGCTGCAAGCAGAATGTCTGGGTTGGCATTCTCATTCCACAGCTTCATGCGGTGTGATAGTGAGTAATTTACTTTCCCTCTCTGTGTCACAGTTTCCTATTCTCTAAAAACAGCTAATAATAATGACCTACCTTATAGACTGTTATGAAGATTGAATTAATTTATATATGTAAATAAGACTTGGAACATAAATTTTCTGCACATTTTTTTTTGTTTTTTTGAGACGGAGTCTCACTCTGTCGCCCAGGCTGGAGTGCAGTGGCCAATCTCGGCTCACTGCAATCTCTGCCTCTTGGGTTCACGCCATTCTCCTCCCTCAGCCTCCCGAGTAGCTGGGACTACAGGCACCCGCCACCATGCCCGGCTAATTTTTTGTATTTTTTTAGTAGAGGCGGGGTTTCGCCGTGTTAGCCAGGATGGTCTCAATCTCTTGACCTCGTGATCCGCCCGCCTCGGCCTCCCAAAGTGCTGGGATTACAGGCGTGAGCCAGCGGGCCCGGCCGATTTTCTGTAAATGTTAGCCATTGTTATTGCTCCTATTGACCTGAAGTATAAAAACAGAAATGTGACCCTGGTCCTTGACCTTGGGTGGAATCACATGATAAGCAATAGTTTAGGGAAAATGTTTGTACCGGGTATTTTCATTATTCAAAATATTATTAATAATAATGTGCTATTAAGATAATGTTACAAAATTAAAATATTGAAAAGAAGCCTCTGGTACAGAATCAGAAAGTCTTACTGTGCATGTGTGTATTTTGACTTTCTATAATTCCTCTGTCAATCATAAGCTTTGCAGATTTCAGTTATCTGGGTCAACTTGCCAGTAGTAACTGCTTTGGTCTCCCCATCTCTAACGCACCTCATGATCTATTTGCTGTCCTGCTGCTACAGTAACCCTGCTACAGTTCTCTTACCTGAAGATCTTCCTTTCCCAGGAAAACATTTCACACTTTCCCTGACAACACATCACACACACACACACACACACACACACACACACACACACCATAAACACCCCCCATACACACACACCACACACCAAAAACTCACACATTCTACACACATCACACACATGAACACCCCAGCACACACATATTCATACCACAAATACCACACACACCACACACACATCACACCCACCACCTACACTAACATACATACCACACACACACCAAACACACATTCCACACACATACTCTGAACACCCCAATACACGCACACTCATACCACATGCACACCACACACATCAAACTCATACACACTGCACTCACTTCCTACATCCACACACACCACATACACACACCACATGCATCACACACACACACAAACACTCCCGCATACACTCACACTCACAGTATTAAACAATACCACACACTGATGCATTCCACACACACACACCATAGACACCCCAATACACACATACTCATACCACACATACCACACATACCACCCCCACACACACCACATGCACATCACGCACACTCTCACAAATACAACACTCACTACCTCCACTCACACACATGCCACATACACACACACCATACACACCACATGCATAAAACACACACCAAAAACACTCCCTATACACTCACACTCACGTACCACACATAAAACACACACACATTCCACACACACACCGTGAACATACACACACTCATCACACACACCACACACATCACACAAACTCTCACACACCACTCCTACACACACACCACATACACAGACACCACACACACCACCGCCATCCCTGATACACTCACACTCACATACCACAAACACACCACACACACCTTCCACACACACACACCACAAACATCCCCCATACACCCACATACCACACACACACCACACACTCCACACACACACCATGGACACCCCATGCATACACTCAGATCACACCCACACACCAAGCCCACTACACTCCATATATACTCACATACGCCACATAAACACAAACCACCCACACCCACACACACACACATCACACTCACTCCTTGAAACGCTTCTCTTCACTCACTGATCCCTTCCTGACCCTAATCCACACCCACCGGGCTCCCCAGGCTTTCTTCCACCAGGACCTCCATAGCCCCTCCCTCCAGGGACTTCTCTCCACTCTAGGCTCCCTATGGAGCCTCCGTTCCTTCTGCAGCTCTCGCTCCCCACCTCCCCATGCATTTGCCTCACTGATTGCGCTGGACCATCTTGGTGGTTTTTCCAGTGTGTCCCCCGTGGTAGGTCTCCTCACATACACTGCAGGCCCCTTTTGACAAGCCCACATCCTGGCACCGGCAGTTCCTTGGGCATTGTACATCCCTGCACGTAGGACCGCGTCTGGCACACAGTGTGCACTCAGCTATAATTTCAGAGCGTGAATGCTCACAGGTATTAGGATCAACGTTCAGAAGGTGCTTTCCTTTTTACTGAACCTGTGGCCTACTTGATTTACCTGATAGCTTGTAATTCAGTTCATTAAATTTCTGTTAAAATATTAATACACCAGGTGAATCTCAATATTATTGCTGCAAATTATGTTTTCATTAAGATGGACAAAGACTATTAATAAGCCACATTTGCAGGGCACTGAGTTAGAGAATTAGCCTAGAAGACTGAAGTCTTCAGTGATTTCTGTTTATATCAACATACAGAAGAAAAAGGATAGAAACGACAAGCGTATAGAAATGAGATTAGAAACTGAAAAAAATTAATAGTTTTGTAAAATTAGCTAGGTGATGTACAAATTCCATATAAAATCTCTATTTTTCATTTGGGGTGCAGTGTCTCAGGATTTTTGCTTCCTAACTGACTAATTGGAGTGTTGTACCATGATTACATTGCCAAGACTAATAGCATCTGCACTAAATATTTTTTTGAGATTTTGTTGAGGTTTACTTGACATATACAGAAAAGCGCACATTGAAAATGTGCAGGCTGGGGGCGGTGGCTCACAGCTGTAATCCCAGCACTTTGAGAGGTCAACACAGGATGATTGATTGAGTCCAGCAGTTTGAGACCACCCCGGGTAACACAGAAAAAAACCCTCTCTCTACAAAAAATACAAAAATGAGCAGGACATGGTGGCCCGCACCTGTGGTCCCAGTTACTTGGGAGGTGGAGGTGGGAGGATAGCTTGAGCCCGAGAGGTCGAGGCTGCTGTGAGCCATGATTGCACCACTGCACTCCATGCATCCTGCCTGGGAGACAGAGTGAGATCCTGTGTTTTACTAAATAAATAATAAAAGGTTCAATTTGGTAAGTTTTAACGTAGGTATAGAACTCTGAAACCATTACAACCATCAAGATTACCAACATATTTCTTGTTTTCTTTTTTTTGGGGGGGGATGGGGGGAGAGTGTTTGGCTCTGTCACCCAGGCTGGACTACAGTGACACAATCTTGGCTTACTGCAATGTCTGCTTCCCAGGCTCAAGCGATCCTGCCTCCTTAGCCTCCCCAGTAGCTGGGACCACAGGAGTGTGCCACCACACCCTGCTCATTTTTGTGTCTTTTGTTTGTTTGTTTGTTTGTTTGTTTGGTGTGTGTGTAGGCACTGGGTCTCCCTGTGTTACCTGGGCTGGTCTCGAACTCCTGGGCTCAAGCGCTGCACCCACCTCGGCCTCCCAAATCACGCCGGGATTACAGGCGTGAGCCCCCGTGCCCAGCTATACATATAATTTCTAAGCACTTTCTTGCTTCTCTTTCCCTCCCACTTCTCCCAGCCTTCCCCATTCGCATGCAACAACTGGAAATAATTTTGATTTAGAATATAAACACACTTTATATGTCTAAAGAGATAACAGGGAAAATGGAAATAGTAAGAGACTTATTTTTTATATCAAAATTATCAAGTAAAATTGAAAAAGAACAGTATTTAGAATGAAAATTGAATTACAGAAATGAAGAATTTAGTGGATTCTGAAACAGCAGATCAAACGTACATGAAGAGAGACTCAGCAAATTAGAAGAAAGCTCTGAAATGGCTGGGAGCAGTGGCTCACGCCTGTAATCCCAGCACTTTGGGAGGCCGAGACGGGCAGATCACGAGGTCAGGAGATCGAGACCATCCTGGCTAACACGGTGAAACCCCGTCTCTACTAAAAATACAAAAAAATTAGCCGGGTATGGTGGTGGGCACCTGTAGTCCCAGCTACTGGGGAGGCTGAGGCAGGAGAATGGTGTGAACCCAGGAGGCAGAGCTTGCAGTGAGCCGAGATCGCGCCACTGCACTCCAGCCTGGGTGACAAAGCAAGACTCAGTCTCAGAAAGAAAAAAGAAGAAGAAGAAGAAAGCTCTGAAATAATTAACCAGCATGCACAATAAAGAGACAAGAATTGGGAAATGTGGAAGAGATGTTAAGGGATGGGGGGAAGAGGAAACACTGGAGAGATAATCTGCAGGAATGTCCATCTATGTGACTAGAGATGGGCACTGTTGCTGTAGCATTGTACAGCATCGCACTGTCGAAGGGAAAGCATCTCTACAATGAGAAATTGTATGGGTTCATTCACAAAATGTTTTGTCTAGTCTAGAAATATTATGTCTCTTTATCACAAACTCTCCTTTTAAAAATATAGGTAATTATACATTAAGAGAATTTTGTAAAGAACAGTATGCATAGCTGAAATATATTTGGCATCATTTATTGAACACTCCCTCTGCATATTAAAGTCTGGGTCACACAAACAAAATAGTCACATAGGGGCTGCTGTCAGCCAGTGAAAAGAAATACTAAATCTATTGACTGAACTCAACACGCTGACAGAAAGGCATGCTGAAATAGACAATGTGGAAGAAAAAGTCAATTCAACCAAAACAAATGTCCCTAATCAAATAGGAAGCTTGGCTTTCAGCAAAGTAATTTCGGGAAAATGAACACATGATTTAACCCCTCAATCATATCATTTGTCTATCAACCCAACGTTCTCACCTTAGGCAGCACAGAGTACCAGATTCTTCAAGGAAGATGAACAACCGTCATTACATGGGAATAACTCATGCAATGTTACACACCGATTGAAAAAGGAAAAGTATTTCTGTGAATGATGTGCAGTAACTAAATCAATTTTTTTTTTTTTTTTTTTTTTTTTTTTTTTTTTGAGACGGAGTCTCGCTCTTTCGCCCAGGCTGGAGTGCAGTAGCGCTATCTCGGCTCACTGAAAGCTCCGCCTCCCTGGTTCACGTCATCCTTCTGCCTCAGCCTCCTGAGTAGCTGGGACTACAGGCGCTCGCCACCACGCCTGGATAATTCTTGTATTTTTAGTAGAGATGGGGTTTCACCATGTTGGCCAGGCTGGTCTAGAACTCCTGACTTCGTGACCCGCCTGCCTCAGCCTCCCAAATTACAGGCATGAGCCACTGTGCCTGGCATATGTATTTCTTTCTGAAGATTTGTTTTTGTTGGCAAGATTGTTCTTTTTTGTTTGCTTGTTTTGTTTGCTTATTTGTTCGATGATATATTTTTCTTTCTTCCCTATATGCACATTTATTGAAGTGTAGCAAACTAAAAAGTGCACAGATCATGAATGTCTAGCTCCACGTATTTTTCCAAGGCGAACCACCACGCAGATTAACTCTTAAGAGAATTATCAGCACCCTTCAAAGCCTTCTTGTATCTTCTCCCAGTCACAATTCTTTCCTCCCATCTTGCCAAACTATAAGTTAGTTTTATATCTTTTTTAAACCTTTTTATAAGTGAAATCGTCCTATGTATACTATTTTGTTCAACATTATGTTAGTGAAATATATTCGTGTTATTGTTTGTAGTAGTGTTTCGTTTACTTCAATATCTACATAGAATTCCCATTGTGTGTAAATACAAATAGGGGATGGTTAATATTTTTAAATTCTTGAAATTTTTATTGAAATAATTGTAGATACACATGCAGTAGGTAGTGCAAAATAATACAACGAGATCACATGTATTCTTTACCTGGTTTCCCCCAATGGTAACATTTTGCAAAACTATAACAACCAGGACATTGACATTGATACAATCTACCAGCCTTGTTAAAACTTTCCGTGTTTTATTTGTATTTTGTGTGTCCATGTGTGCACATAGCTCTCTATAACTATGCCACACGTCTTGGCTCCTGAATCCACCACCACAGTCAACCCAGGGCAGCCTATCCCCTCAGAATTCTCTGGTGCTGTGCCTTGAAAATCACACCGACCCCCTTGCAATGCCCCCCTCCACTGTCCCTAATCCCTGGCAACTCCCAATCTGTCTCCATCTCTAAATTTTTCGTTAAAAAATGTCATACAAATGAAATCATAGTGTTTAACATTTTGGGATTCGACTTGTTTTACTTGGCTTAATTCCCTGGAGATTTGCCCCAGTTCTTGTTTATACCAATAGTTTGTTCCTTTTTATTGCTGGGTAAGTATGTCATGTTGTGGATATACCACAGCTTGCTGAAGCATTCACCTGATTAAGAATATTTGGGCTGATACTATTTTTGACAGACGACACCTGAAGCTGCTATGGACACGTCTGTGCAGGTTTTTGTGTGAACGTAAATCTTCATTTATCTGAGATAAAAGCCAAAGAGTGCAATGGCTGCATTGTATAAATCACATGCTTAGTTTTTAAGGAATCTACCAAATTATTCCCCAGACTGGTTGTACCATTTTACATTCCCACCAGCAATGTGTGAGCACCCCACATTCTCTGGATTCTCAACAGGCATTTGGTGGTGTCAGCATTTATTTTTAAGTTTCTCTAATAGCTATGTGCATTTAACTGATCGCTAATGATTTAAAACACTGTCTCACATGTTTATTTTCCATCTATACCTCCTCTTTAATGAGAGGATCCTCTTTTCTTCTTTCTAAATATCAAGAGCTCTTTTTATATATTGTAGCATAGATCCTAGTCCTTTGTCAGAAAATAGCATTTTTTATTTAAATACGGTCAATTTTGGTAAGGGTCCCACATGCACTTACAACAAATTATATTCTGTAAGTATTGGTTGCAGGGCTTTCTGTGTGTCAAGTTTGTAATCAAGTTGTTCAAATTGACATTTCTATTGATTGTTTTGTCTGATTGGAGCATCAGTTTTAGAGAGGTAAGTTAAAATCTTTATAATGTTGAATGTTCTTATTTTGGTTTGCAGTTTGGTCAATTTCTGTGTTCCATATTTTGAGAATATATTATTATTTAAAGCTTACAAATTTAGGATTGTCATATCACTCTCTTTGATGGCTGTTATTCTTTTTTTTTTCTTTTTAGCAATATATCTTGCATTAATGTCAACTTTGACTTATGATTATAAAGCTATACATTTTTTTTTCCTTCTCTTGTTTGGTCTTTACAAAGAATATCTTTTTCTAACCTTTGACTTTCAACTATTCTACGTATGCCTACTTAATGTTTGTTTCTTGTAAGTATAAAAGAGTTGTTTTATTTTCACCCAATCAGTTTTACTATTTATTTAGAATGTAATTACTGATAAATTAGAGGTTTTTATTGCTTTTTCTTTTTGATTAATAAACTTCTTTTTAATTATCTTTTTTGTCTGTTAGCTTGTTTCACTTTCCCAACATTTCAAGGACGCCATTCTGTTTACCTCCTTTGTGTATATTGAGACACTGTCTGTCAGCCTTATATTAATATTTTCTCTTTTGAAAATAACATTTCTTTGTTTGTGCTGCTTTTAAAATCTTTTCCTTGCCCTGTTTTTCTGCATACTTATTATAATGTACTAGGTGAAGTTTTTCTTAAATTAATTTGCCTGCTTTGTAGAATTTCTTAAATCTCTCTTTTACTGTCTATTGTCAGTTTGGGGAAATTCTTGGTGATATTGTCTTAAAATATTGCTTATGTCCCAATTCCTCTCTCCCTTTCTTCTGGAACTTCAATTACACAGATATTTTCTGTACATTCTATCAATTTTTTTCTGCTTCACTTAAAATGTTTTCTACTAATCTATCTTCCAACTCAACCCATATGTATGCATTTTGTATTTCAGATATTTATTTTCAATTCTGAATTTCTATTTGATTCATTATGGTTTCCAGTTTTCTGCCAAAAATCTGGATCATTTGTTTCTTTTCTAAAACACATGAATCATAGTTAACTATTAAAGTTCCTGTTATTATTGATAACAGTGGTATCCAGAAACCCTGCTCCCTTTTTTTTTTTTTTTTTTTTTTTTTTTTTTGAGACGGAGTCTCGCTCCGTCGCCCAGGCTGGAGTGCAGTGGAGCAATCTTGGCTCACTGCAAGCTCCGCCTGCCGGGTTCACGCCATTCTCCTGCCTCAGCCTCCTGAGTAGCTGGGACTACAGGCACCCGCCACCACGCCCGGCTAATTTTTTGTATGTTTAGTAGAGACGGAGTTTCACCATGTTAACCAAGATGGTCTCGATCTCCTGACCTCGTGATCCGCCTGCCTCCGCCTCCCAAAGTGTTGGGATTACAGGCGTGAGCCACCGCGCCCGGCCCCTGCTCCTTTCTTATTGTGTCTCTCTTGGTGTTGGGTCATGGGATGCTGTTTCTGGATGTTTCAGGTGAGTTTGCGTTGATACCCAAGCTTGGCTGTGCATTCTTGTCTTCTCCAGAGAGGACTTGGTTTTCTTCTGGCAGTCAAAGGACCGCCTTGATCCAGTCAGTCAAGGGAGTGAATCAAGACTACATTTCAGCCTAGTGACTTTCCCAGTGCTTATCTCTTTTTAAGTCACGACTCCAGAGACTGTGATTTTTCCAAGCAGATCTCCTTTGAAAGATAGGCCATGAACTCCCACCTCTGTCTCCCAGGACCCACAATTCCAAATGCTCTGTTAAGCTTTCTAGACCACTGAAAGCACCTCTTTTATTTGGTTCCTTTGCTTCTAATCTTAGAAAAAAAAAATAGGATTGGGTAAATCTATCAAGAACCGAAAGCCAGGCAGATGTCAGGCTCACTCTCTTGTAATTCTTCCTAGATAATAGGTCCTTCAAACTCTCACTGCTTGATAGCCCAGTTCAGGGGCTCTCATATCCTGTGTCTCCCAAAACCACTTTATCTGAGCTGCAGATTCCTGTTTGACTGCAATGCCCTAAACTGAAACTCAGCAGCAAATCCCCTGAAAGGAAAATGATTTGCAAAATGTGAAAATAATCTTAATAGATATGCAGATATGCCTGTGTCTTGATTTTATTTTAATTTTTAATTTTTTTTTATTTTTTATTTTTTTTGAGGCGGAGTCTCTCTCTGTCGCCCAGGCTGGAGTGCAGTGCCGCAATCTCGGCTCACTGCAAGCTCCCCCTCCCAGGTTCATGCCATTCTCCTGTCTCAGCCTCAGCGTAGCTCCTGCCTCAGCTCCCAGACTAGCTGGGACTACAGACGCCCGTCACCATGCCCAGCTAATTTTTTGTATTTTTAATAGAGACGGGGTTTCACCGTGTTAGCCAGGATGGTCTCAATCTCCTGACCTCGCGATCTGCCCGCCTCGGCCTCCCAAAGTGCTGGGATTACAGCGTGAGCCACCGCGCCCGGCCGCCTGTGTCTTGATTTTTTTACTTTAAAAATCCTGTCTGCCTTTTATCATTCTCCTAGACTTTAAGAGATTTGCTTTTCTGTTATCATTATATTCAGATTTCAAAACTATTCTCAGTGGGAGTTAGATCTGAGATATTTGGGGCTGGGGGGGGGTTCCAGTTACAATTTTTTGTTTTGTTTTGTTTTGAGACTGAGTCACTGTCGCCCTGGCTGGAGTGCAGTGGCGCGATCTCGGCTCACTGCATCCTCCGCCTCCCGGTTCAAGCGATTCTCCTGCCTCAGCCTCCCGAGTAGCTGGGATTACAGGCGCCCACCACCATGCCCGGGTAATTTTTTGTATTTTTAGTAAGACGGGGTTTCAACATGTTGGTTAGGCTGGTCTCCGATTCCTGATCTTGTGATCTGTCCGCCTCGGCCTCCCAAAGTGCTGGGATTACAGGCGTGAGCCACCATGCCCGGCACCATTTTATTTTGTTTTGAGACAGGGCCTCGTTCTGTGACCCAGGCTGGAGTGCGATGGCATGATCACAGCTCACTGCAGCCTCGACCTGTTGTGCTCAAGCAATCATCCCTCCTCAGCCCCCCAAGTAGCTGGGACTACAGTCATGTGACACCACACCCAGCTAATTTTTTTTCTTTTTTTTTTTTTTTTTTTTTTTTTGTAGAAATTGGTTTTTGCCACGTTGCCTAGGGCTCAACTGTTCCTCTTTCCTCAGCTACCCAAAGTGCTGGGATTACAGGTGTGAGCCACTGAGCCTGACCCCAGTTACTCATTTTTCTATCTGGCTTAGTTTCTGTTTCTTTCTTTCCTTCTTTGGTTTACTATTCCTTAAGTTATGTGAACATATAAAGGAAAAAAAATGTATCTTAAGTCAAATTCGTGGCTTTGGGTGGAAGAAGAGGGAAGAAAGAAAATGTATTTTTGGCCAGACGTGGTGGCTCATGCCTGTAATCCCAGCACTTTGGGAGGCCAAGGTGGGCAGATCATGAGGTCAGGACTTTCAGACCAGCCTGGCCAATATGGTGAAACCCCATCTCTACTAAAAATACAAAAATTAGCCTGGCATGGTGGCATGCGCCTGTAGTCCCAGCTACTCGGGAAGCTGAGGCAGAAGACTTGCTTGAACCTGGAAAGCAGATGTTGCAGTGAGCTGAGATTGTGCCACTGCACTCCAGCCTGGGCGACAGAGTGAGATTCTGTTTCAAAAAAAAAAAAGTATTGTTTTATTATACATTTAAAGAAGAAAGTGTTCATAGCCATTGATTTTTCCCTACATGGTAATATATTCGTGGCACCTGGGTCACGTGGAATTATGGGAAGAGAGTCCTTTTCCCTTCTCCTAGGCTGGAGTGCAGTGGCACCATCTTGGCTCACTGAAAGCTCCGCTTCCCAGGTTCACACCATTCTCCTGCCTCAGCTGAGTAGCTGGGACTACAGGTGCCCATTACTACGCCCGGCTGATTTTTTGTATTTTTAGTAGAGGCGGGATTTCACCGTGTTAGCCAGGATGGTCTCGATCTCCTGACCTCGTGATCTGCCCACCTCGGCCTCCCAAAGTGCTGAGATTACAGGTGTGAGCCACCACACCCGGCCAGTCAGATCTGCATTCCCCACTTCCACTCGCTTCTCCGTTGTTACACGCCTTTGACTTTTGAGACTCATGCCACCATGCAACGTGACTCCACTGATGTCCATCATAGTCCTCTCCCTTCCTGTAGCCCTGGGCTTCTTGTCACTGCTCCCCATGGGCAGTCTGATAATTCTTGTAAAGTGACTCATGGTTCCTCGACTCTTTTGACCCAATAACTTTTCTCTCCACTCCACTGCAAGGTGTGACATCAAGATGCAAGATATGAAATGACTGGTCATACCTTGCAACTTGCTACACTTTATCATAAAAATCTTAAGCACCTGTCCACAGTGCCATATATTTTAACTGTCATATGCTTGCACTTCCTGAAACACTTTCCCAATACTTGGGGACCTCTATTAATGGTTTTGTCAAATTTTTACCCAGCCTAAAGAAAATAATTAAAATACATTCAGTGTAGCCTGAGTGTACTGTGTTTATAAAGTCAGCAATAGTGTACATTAATGTCCTAGGCCTTCATATTTACTCACCACTCACACACTGACTCACCCAGAGCAACTTCCAGTCCTGCAAGCTCCATTCATGGTAAGTGTCCTACATAGGTGTACCATTTTTTGTCTTTTCTACCATATTTTTACTACACCTTTTCTCTGTTTAGATATGTTTGGATATACAAACACTTACCATTGTAATACAATTGCCGGCAGTATTCCATATAGTAACATGTTATGCAGGCATATGGCCTAGGAGCTACAGGATATACCATATAGCGTAGGTGTGTAGTAGGCTTTATCATCTATGTTTGCGGAAGTGCACTCTGTGGTTCACACAGTGATGAAATTGCCTAACGACACATGTCTCGGAATGTATTACTGTCATTAAGAGATGCATGGCTTCATATATTTTTTACTCTGTTCTTATGCTTCTCTCTGTAGAACTCCAATGGCACAGATGTGTCATTGTATTGTTACACAGATCCTTAAGGCTATGCTCATTTTTCTTCAAACGTTTTTCCTCTCTGTTGCTTATATTGAATACTTTTTATTGATCTATCTTTAAGTTCATGGACTTTTTCCTTTGTCATTTCTATTCTGCTGTTGAGATCATCTTGTGAATTTTTAATTTCAGTGTTTTTATTTTTAGTTCTGAAGTGTAACTGTCTTTTCACTTGCAAGTTGAGATTTTCCTTGTTCTTTACATGCTGAACCATTTTGGATTATATCCTGAATATTTTGGATATTATCTTATGAGACTCTGGGTTTTGTTTAAAACGTCAGGACAATGTCTTTTGCTGTTGTTTTCAATGGCAATCGGCTAGGTCAGATTCAATATGCAAATTCCTCCAGTGGGCTGTAGTTCTATTGTGGTTCAGAGCCATGTGGTACAAGCACACAGAGAAAAAGAGCAGTGAAGAATCACTCTGAACTCCTGGAACCATAGATTCTCAGGTAAGAGAGAAGAGTTTCTTCCTTCAGAGTTGTAGGTGCTTCTTGTTGGTAGCTGTTGCTCTTTGCCCAGCTGCAACCACTGAATCACCAGCACAGTATTGCTTAGGTTATAAAGAAAGGAAAGCAGAAATATAGGAGGGAATTCATCCTCCTCTTTCTCACCTGTAGGGGCTCATTTTCCTTCCCCTCAGATCAGAAAGTGAGAGATCTTCGGGAATTCTTTTTGTCTGTAACCAGGATGTATTTCGTTTCTTTAAGCCTCCTCTGACTGGCCAGTTTTGCATGTTGCTTGTTTTCAGTTTTCAAAGTAAGAAAAATCCTATGATTCTCCTGATGCTTTATAAGTCTATGCTTTCAGATTAATGCGAAAGATTATTTAAAAACAAGCTTTCGGTAAAAATGAAGGGCATCCAAAGAAGCCTGCTTTCCACTTGGCTTCTGGCCATCTTTCCTTTCTGCGGGGGTTCAAGAGCTTGGAGGCATTGGATCTGGTATCAGAGCGGTCACCTTCCCCACTGATGGGGAAGCCCAGAGGCCTTAGGAATAAACGAAGCCCGTACTGAGGAAAGGGAAGCTGAGAGGACCGAGGAAACACCGACTTTACACGCCTGTGGACTGCAGGAACCATTTATGGCACGAGCGGGTCTTTACTTATTTATTTTTATTTTTAGATTTTACTTTAAGTTCTGGGATACATGTGCTGAACATGCAGGTTTGTTATATACACGGGTATACATGTGCCATGGTGGTTTGCTGCACCTATCAACCCGTCATCTAGGTTTTAAGCCCCACATGCATTAGGTATTTGTGCTAATGCTCTCCCTCCCCTTTTCCGCACCCCCTGACAGGCCCTGGTGTGTGATGTTCCCAGGAGTGGGAGTCTCTAAGGGGTGAAAGGAGAGAGAAAACACGCTGGGCTAGCACTCTGCTGAGTTCTGCACTGAGTTAGTGCCTAACTTTGTGCTGTCTGCAGCTGTCTCCCCTACTCCTGCCCCAGGGTTCACTTCCTAGAACAGAGCCCCGGGGAACCCGGGAGCTGTGGAAAGCCAGGTCTCCCTTGTGGTTCGGGAAACACAGAAATTCAGCTGACCAAGAGACGAAGAGAAGTAAAGCCAGCGCACGGAGGTAAGAAAGTGAACATAACTTCAGAGCGCTATCATCAGGCCTGGTGAGGCATGCTTGGATCTTGACACAAAAATCCCTCTTCGACTTGATCTGGCTCTAGTATGGATCTTTCACTTTAGCCCAAAGTGCCTCCTTGAACTCTCAAATGCATTCTGAGCTGAGCACGATGGTGATTTGGGGTCAATCATGATATTCCCCGTGGGGGATTTTCTCTCTCGGAGCGCAGACCTCGTGATGACCCCTGTGACCCACCTCCTAGAGCTGGGGGCTCCGGGGAATGCCTGACGTGCCTCAGGACAGAACAGGTGTGGTCCACCACCATTCGTGCTAACCATGGAAACAGGGTACATGGGGTATAGCTCAAGGGTGATGTGCAATTTTATCAGAAAATAAATGCTATTTATTCTAACACTGAAAACTGAATTAGGTCCTCATGCTTCTTTTCTTCTTTTTTTTTTTTTTTTTTTCCAGACTAGGTCTCACTCTGTCGTCCAGGCTGGAGTGTAGTGGCATAATCATGGCTCACTGCAGCCTCAACCTCCCTGGCTCAAGCCATCCTCCCGTCTCTCCTCATGTTTCTTATGTCTGATTGACAGGGCAATAAAAGCACATATCTGGCACCTCTCCTTGTCTGGGAGGACTGGCCACAGAGTCATTTTGCAGAAGTTGGAGAGGAGTGCACTAGATGGGGCTGTTGGCTTGCATTATACAATTCACACTGCAGGGGGTAGAGAATTGAATTTCACATTTGAGAAATGGGAAAGGAGGAAATAAAAAGATGGAATGCCCTAATCTTTCTGAAAATCCAAAAAAGGCCCAAGGAAAGCTAGTTCAATTATTCCTACCATGACAAACTATGATATGGTCAGACATGCGCACTCTGGCGGGGTGTTCCTAGCCTGGGCTGCCCAAGAGGTGGCAGCTGTTCTAGGACAGATGGAGTGTGGGCCCCTTTCCTGTAGTGAGCTGGGATCACTTAGGAATGACCATCAGCCCAGAGCCGTGGGGCTTATTAGATGCAGGGGTGAGTGGGGCTTGCAGGAAATGGCCCACCATCAGTGCTCTGATGTCCGAATGCCACTCTCGTCACCTCGAGATTAACATTTAGAGGGAGACCATCCTGTGTGGCCTATTGGTGAGACAGGGACTCAGAGGAACACAGGAACCACCCACACCCTCGCCCTGCCGTGGCTACCAGCTGCCCTGGCACACCTGGTTCCCTTTGAGTTCGCCATTCTCGTTGCCACATCCCATCCTTTTCCAGACACTTCTATTTTTCTCACACCTGGAAGTGACACCTGCTGGCAGTCTTCGGAATTTTCCAGAGAGTTGGCAACTTGGGGCTCATTTGTTTCTGCTCATTTTTATTTAGTTTTTCAGATGGGCTGTGCTGCGGGCAACACATGATAGTAGCTCATCAAAGAGAGGCTGTTTTTGGGAAGTGGAGCAGCCACCGCTGATTTTGGAGCTGGGGTAGCTGCCGCTGCCACAGCCACTGCAGCGGCCTAAGGAGTCAGCTTGGGAAGGTAGTGGTCACCAAGCTCAGAGCTGTGCTTGGAACTGACAATGGATAAAAGTGTGCTGGTACAGAAAGCCAGGCCCGCTGAGCAGGCTGAGCGCGGTGATGATGTGGCTGCAGCCGGGAAGGCAGCCATGCCACAGGGGCATGCGCCCCCAGCTGAAGACAGCAATCTGCCCTCTGCCGCCTACAAGAATACGGTGGGGCCCACTGTTCTTCCTGGATTCTCATCTCCAGCACTGAGCAGAGAACAGGAGGAATGAGAAGCAGCAGATGGGCAAAGAGTACCATGGAAGACAGAGGCAGAGCTGCTGGACATCTGCAATGAGGTTCCGGAGCTGTTGGACAAGTCTCTTATTCCCCATGCTACACAACCTGAAAGCAAGGCGTTCTCCTTGAAAATGAAAGGAGATTGTTTCGGGTATCTTTCTGGGGTGGCGTCTGGAGACAATAAACAAACCACACTGTTGAACTCCCAGCAGGCTTACCAGGAAACATCTGAAATTAGTAAGAAAGATATGCAGCCTACACACCCAATTCGACTGGGCCTGGCACTTAATTTCTCAGTCTTTTGCTACGGGATTCTAAACTCTCCTGAAAAGGCCTGCAGCCTGGCAAACGTGGCATTTGATGAAGCAATTGCTGAGTTGGATACACTGAATGAAGAGTCTTATAAAGACAGCACTCCCACCATGCAGTGACTTCGGGACAATCTCACTCTGGGGACATCGGGAAACCAGGGAGATGCAGGAGATGCTGGGGAGGGAGAGAACTGTGTCTGCCATGCCTCACAATCTGTTCAGTGTCACCCTGTACCATCCACGTAAATCCCTTTGTGTGATTAAAAAAAAAAAAGAATTGTACATTGTCTTGCGATTTTTCACAGCCTCAGCCTAGCAAGAATGGTTCGTGGGATAAACAGCTGGCACTTGTATCTAAAACCTAGATTGGTTGCATAAACACCATGGCATTCTGAAGTTTTGGTTTTGATTGACATTGGCAAGATTACTGTGTGTTTAATTTTCTTAAAGCTGAGCACTGTGGTGATGGGTTTTGTAATTCAGCATAATTCTTACTGATAAGAAAAATAGACCTGAATGTTATGTAACTCTTTGGAAAGTTTAATCCAATATTAAAATAGTCACTGAAATACAATTTCATTGTAAAGTTGTACAGAAAGTTACAGAGGTTATGTCGTGATGCTGGGATGTGGAGTGAGACACCATCATTTGGCATTCAAGTTTAATGGTAATTCACAGTGATGCTGCCTGTTCAGAGCTTATAGACACTGGACCTGTTTGGGCTATTGCCACTCAAAAGTTCATGACCACAAATGTCCACAGCGTCTTCCTCTGAGGAAATGCAAATCCTGAAGCTGAAATTCCTTGTGACAGATAACTGGCTGTGACACCTTGAAAAGTTCTGGTGCTCATATGACACACCTGACTAAACCCCCCTTCCTACAGCAATAGGAATATGTTACTGATTTGAAACTTGTGCCTCAATAATGGAATAGTTTTTCATTGTTAACACTGAGCTAGTGCTGTAAATGCTGTCTGTTTTATGAATGCTCTTTTCTGTTTCCTGGCTAATATCTCCTTCTTTTTTTTTTTTTTGGTGTGAGGAATTTAATAAGATAATGCATACAAAGTGCTCAGAACCCCAGCAGATACACGGCATTCACTGAGTGTTAGCCAGTCTCATTATAGCACAGATGTCCCTTCCCCCACATGCCTTTGCCCCACATTCCTGGATAATACCTTTAAGAATAATGTTCTGAGTCAGGCATGGTGGTGTGTGCCTGTGGTTCCAAATACTTGGGAGGCTGAGGCAGGAGGATCACCTGAGCCCGGGAGTTTAAGGCCATAGTGTCCTGTGGCTGCCCCTGTGAATAGCCACTGCACTCCCACATGGGCAACATAGCAAGACCTTGACTCCAACAAAACAGAAGAATGTTCTGTAGAGATTGCCTTTCACTTCAGGAGTGCTCAGTTTTCATGTTCTTCCTAGATTGGGGCTTTTATTTATTATTATATTATGTTTTATTTTATTTACTTATTCATTAATTAATTAGTTAATTTTGAGACAGGGTCTCCCTCTGCGGCCCAGGCTGGAGTGCGGTGGCACAATCTTGGCTCACTGCAACCTCTGCCTCCTGGGTTCAAGCAATTCTCCCGCCTCAACCTCCTGAGTAGCTGGAATTACAGGCACGTGACACCAAAGGCCACCTAATTTTTGTATTTTTAGTAGAGATGGGGATTTATCTTTTTTTTTTTTTTTTTTTGAGATGGAGTCTTGCTCTGTCGCCCAGGCTGGAGTGCAGTGGCGAGATCTCGGCTCACTGCAAGCTCCGCCTCCCGGGTTCAGGCCATTCTCCTGCCTCAGCCTCCTGAGTAGCTGGGATTACAGGTGCGTGCCACCATGCCCAGCTAATATTTTGTATTTATAATAGAGATGGGGTTTCACTATGTTGGTCAGGCTGGTCTTGAACTCCTGACCTCGTGATCTTCCCCGTCTTGGCCTCCCAAAGTGCTGGGATTACAGGCATGAGTCACTGTGCCTGGCCTTTTGTTCACTTTTTTTTTTTTTTGAGACAGAGTCTCTGTCACCCAGGCTGGAGTGCAGTGGTGCAATCTCGGCTCACTGCAAGCTCCACCTCCCAGGTTTACGCCATTCTCCTGCCTCAGCCTCCCGAGTAGCTGGGACTACAGGCGCCCACCACCAAGCCTGGATAATTTTTTTTTTTTTTTTTTTTTTTTTTTTTTGTATTTTTAGTAGAGATGGTGTTTCACTGTGTTAACCAGGATAGTCTCGATCTCCTGACCTCGTGATCTGCCCGCCTCGGCCTCCCAAAGTGCTGGGATTACAGGCGTAAGCCACCACACCTGGCCTGTTCACTTTGTAATGCTATATATGGGCAGGGGTGAGAGACATGAGTCAGCACCTTGGTGAGCAAACCTTGCTTTAAAGAGTTGAGAAGAGCTGCCCGCACCACAGCTCTGCCTTCCTCCAGTTCTCAACACAGTGTTGCTCTGCAATCACACCATGATCTGAATCAAAAAAGTATTTTTAAATACCCAGGATTTCTGCCTGTATTGAGGCTGACCCTGATCATGCTTGCAAGTACCTGTCACCAAGTGTCCCAAGTGCACTCATCCAGCTCAGCTCTCAGAAGTGCCTAAACAAGACGCTACCACTCAGGGCAGTTGTGTGGACACTGCAGGGGAGAGGCTGGAGAGGATCCAGGCCCATCAGTGTCCCAGGGTTTCCCCTCCACCTCTGACATTCCACCTGGCTGCAGGGTCCATCTGTTTGTCCATCTGCGGAAACAAGAAAAGAAAAATTCATGCACTGACTTAAAAAAAA